>NC_000010.11:83779458-83930974 GCF_000001405.40 Homo sapiens | reverse complement strand
GATAATTGAAATATTCAAGAATTTAGCAATTCCTCTTAATATTTATCTTTCTTCATTTTCTTTTTTCTCTCATAATTCTTTTTTCTTTTTTTAGAGACAGGGTCTCTCACTGTGTTGCTGAGGCTGCTCTTGAACTCCTGGGCACCAGCAATCCTCCCGTCTTAGCGTCCTGAGTACCTGGGACTATGGTGGCGCACTCCCATGCCTGGCTTAATTTCTTTATTATTCTGTTTGTTTGAGTTGATATTCTATTCTAATAACCTGAACTTCTGCAGCTCTCTTATCACTTCTAATTCTTCTTCTTTTTTTTTTTTTTTTTCAGATGGAGTCTCACTCTGTTGCCCAGGCTGGAGTGCAGTGGCACCATCTCGGCTTACTGCAACCTCCAGCTCACTGCAACCTCCGCCTCCCGGGTTCAAGTGATTCTCCAGCCTCAGCCTCCCGAATAGCTGGGATTACAGGCATGTGTCATCACGCCTGGCTAATTTTTGTATTTTTAGTATAGACAGGGTTTCACCATTTTGGCCAGGCTGATCTCAAACTCCTGACATCAAGTGATCCACCCGCCTCAGCCTCCCAAAGTGCTAGGATTACAGGCATGAGCCACCACACCTGGCCTATCACTTCTAATTCTTATTTGTTCTCCTGGGGAAATAGTTTTTTGTTCTTTTCGTTTTATGGTTGCAAAGCCCCTTTTGGTGATCTAATAATGCATGATCGTGCACAACAACTCTCTTTTTAATCCTGATATTTGATACAAGGTACATTTCAAGTGTTAGGGTCATCTGAGACCCTTTCCTGCCTTTTTAAATCAGAGTTGTTAAACTTTCTGATTAGAATAAGTCTTTTTATTTCTGTTTACTTGTGGTTTTTGGTGGATATTTTCTACATTATCAGGGAAGGGGTGATCAGGATGTTAATGTACGTGCCATTCTCCCTGTTTAGTCAATTGCAGGCTTCCCAACTTTGATGGTGCAATTCCAGCTGTCTGGAAATAATAAGCATATTGGAGGGAGGTTCCTGACAGAGTGCTTCTCCTGAACGTGGGTCTGAGAATCACACCATGTGGAGATGGTCCCACAATTTTTCCAAACTACTCAAACCTTATTAGAAGTAGAAGTTGATCAGTGAGGGTGAAGTATCCTTGCAGGCTCTGGCAGAGGGAGCCAGAGGTTGAACATCAGGCTGGCTGGGGCACCTTACTCATGCAGGGGCTATAAAGGCTATCAGATTATATGCATGATTAACACAAGTGCCTGCAAGACTGCTTTGCTTGATGTGGAGGCAGAAACACTGCAGCACAGCTGCCTGGGTCAGACTGGGAATCCAAGGGAATAGAACCAATATCCAAACGAACACTCAGCAAGAGCACAAAGAAATAGCCCTGAATTCCAGAGGGAACATGCAGTGCCATGACAAGGCACATTTGCAAGTCAATCTGTGAGCTGGGTTAGAGACGTTATTACATTTGTACTCCCTAGACACTCTGGATCCAGCAGGGGTAAATTTTTTCTGGCTGCTGCTTGGAAGCTCTGGGTTTTCCTGCAGCGGACAGCTTCTTGCTCTTTGAGGATTTTTAATTTGAGTACAGACTGGGCTGAGAGTGGAGAGACAGGACTCACTCAGGATTACTCACAGAGGTGAGACAGGTTTCCTTTGAGTTTGTAGGACCACATCATGAGAGGAACAGGGCAGAGGGGATCATGCGCTGCATATTTGCCTTCCTTTCAAGGTGCATGAGGGTGACAGCCACTTTACATTTGTAAGTGATGGGAGGAAAGACATTCACTTTAGAGATGAAAAAGCAGGCTTGCTGAATAGGTTCTCCAACCCTGTGAGCCAGAAGGAGTGGTATCATCAGTGTCCTCTGTCCTTGTTCCACCGGAAAGCTGTAAGTGGTAGCCATGTCAGAAGTCTGACATGATCAAGGGTTAGCACAACTGCATCGTCTGAGTACTTCTTCAACCAAGCAGGCACAGAGCTGGCTGCTAGGATAATGGGAATGGGGATGGAAAGGGATGGCATGGAAGCAGCACTTGGGGACATGTGGGCAGCAATGGGAAAGGCCTGAGAAGCTAGCTTGGCATCCATGCTTAGCTTGTCTTTAAGAAGGGCTAAAGGGACTCAGGATTGTCTGGGGAGGATACTCACAGCCTTCTTCTAGAGTGCACCTAGAAGAGGAAGATGGACACATGGATAGTCATGCCAGGACATAATGGGAGAAGAACTTCTGGACAATAGGCCTGGAAGGTAGAAATAGGAAGAGCAGCAGCAATGAAGTTGTGATCAGCCTTTCTACATCCTCTGGAAGCATTTACCTGGACCCTTCTTGTCCCCTCTTCTCAGTATGCTGAGCAGAGTTTTGCAGAGAATGTCATCAAATCATCATCAAAACAATCCCAGTAGTGTCAGAACACTCTACGATTTCCATTAATAGACATGTTTATGCATACGTGGCAAATACGTTTTAAGATATGGAGACAAGATTTTAAAGGCATGAGAGAATAAGACAGTTTTGTTCTCCTCTTTAGATCTAGCTCTGCTTCATGTAGTGAAAAACAGGTGAGAAGCAGTATCAGAATATCTAACAATCAAACATACAATAATGGTATCAACAATAAGAGCTCACACACACACACACACACACACACACACACACACACACACACACACTTTGTCCATATGAATTTGTCTGTTTCAGGTATCTCGTGTAAGTGGAGTCATACAGTATTTGTATTTTTGTGACTGGCTTATTTAATGTTGTAGCATGTGCCAGAATTTCCTTCCTTTTTAAAGGACAATAATGTTTTCCATTGTATGTATCTAGCACATTATCTTTATTCGTCAGTTGATGGATATGTGGGTTGCTGCCACCTTTTCACTGTTGTGAGTAACTGTGCTGTAAACATGGATGCACTAATGTCTGTTTGAGTTTCTGCTTTCAAAACTTCGGGGTGTATACCCAGAAGTGGAATTGCTGTATCATATGGTAATTCTTTTAATTCTTTGAGGAACTACCATAATATTTTCCACAATGGCTGCATCATTTTTACATTCCCACCAGCAGTGCCCAAGGATTCCAATTTCTCCACATCCTCAACAAACTGAAATGGGAATTTCGAAGGTTACTAATAGCAACTGAGATATATTTGCCCCTTGATTTAGTGGAAAGAAAAGGAAGTAAGCAGATGCATTACATGTATCCTGACAAGTCCTGTTGTATAAGAGCCTGGAGTGAGTGAACTGTTTCCCTGAAGAACCTTGCCAATGAGCCTAGGAAGTTTTTGAGTCAAAGGAAGAAGGAACGTGGACTGGAGTGGGAAGACCATGGTACTGGCCCTGCTTGGTGCTATGCACAATGTGACACTGCATAGTCACTTCTCTCTCTGGGCCTCTGTCTCCTCAGTGGTAAATAATAGGGTTCAGTCTGAAGGATCCCTTCCTACTTGGAGAATGGATGTTGTCCCTGTGAGAGACTGAGAGCTGGGATCTCGTGAGAATTGGGTTTGGACACTGGCTTGAAGACTAGAGACCATCTGAGTCCAACGGCAGCTGTCATGAGACCACACAGAGCAAGGGGCAATGGCAGGTGGGGGACAGATGGGCATACCCCTTCTAAGGGAAGCAGCTGCTTCTTTGATCTGACTGACTGCTGCCTTGTGGGAATGTTAGCCCAACATGGCCAGATCTGATTTTTCAAGAAAGTCCAGACATCCATATTTTTTAAATGAAAATTTTCAATTAGTAAGTGTTGGCAGTTAATTCAAAACTGAAAAAATAAAACCACTGTGAGAGTTACACAAAATACTCTCAGGCAAGATTTGGCCAGCAGATCATTGTTTGTACCTCCTGATCCCCAGTAGTGGACTACAGATGCTGGTCTGGGGACCCAGGGAGAACTGTGTAGAGACTTCACTGACCTCAGATGTTATTCACAGACAAGTCTGTGACTCCTGCCGGAGCTCCAAACGGTGCAGCTCACAGAAGCAGTGGATGTGTAGTGGTCTCCCAGCACCACCCCACTACCCTTTTTCCTTCTTTGACAGGAGAAGCTGGAAGACATGGCCAGCCACATGAAGGTTCTGGTTTCTTGGCATAGTTGAGCTTCCTCAGAATATTTCAAATTGAGCAAAATAGCATGTGTGTTTCCTCAATTTTGAAGCTATGTACATTGAGTTTTTTGGTCAATATACCCAAGTGTTTTGACAACAGCTATGACGAAATCAAAATGCTGGCCCAAATTGACATTCCAGTGCCACTTCCTGCTACATCATTGAACACAATCCCCAGATGGACAAACCCATTAGCATTTGCTTGATATGTACATCTTTTGTGTCTTTGTTTTTAACATCCTGTCTCTTTTTCTTTTCAGTGTGTCACATTAGCAACATATATAGCTGGATGTTTTTTTTAAACCCAACCAATGAGTTAATGGAAATAAAGCCAGTCAAAAAACTGTATTATGATTTCCAAAGTTTAAACTCATTCTGCCACCTTGTTTTTTCTGTCTGTCATTTTTTCTCCTGCTCCCTTTTAACTCCCCTGACTTGATCAAGTGTTCTTTGCCTAATTTTCCCCATTTTGGAGCTGTGTCCTTCAGAATCTTTAACTCCCCGACAATCCCTCCCTAACATGATATTTTTCTTCCTTCTCTTCCTAGCCTCATATTTCATTTGAGATTACCCAGGATTTCAGTTTCATACAGTTATTTGTTAACTCTTTTTTCCCCACATTTTGGATCAATGGTTATTTATACTTAACTACAAGTTTTAGTGATTCGTTTTCATTTATTTCTTATATTTCACATAATTTTTAAAATTTGTCTTCATATTTCTAGTATATACTCAGTTCTTTCAGAGATATTCTGTGAGGAGATAACATTTATGGATCCTTGCCTGTCCAGATATATCTATGTTTTACTTCCTTCTTCAATATTAGTTTGGCTGGATATAGAATTTTAGGTTCAAAATAACTTTCCTCAGAATTTTGAAGATTTGCCTGTTTATTCCTGTTTATTACTATTTTGTTTTTGGTATAAAATTCTTCCAATGAGAAATCTAATGCCAGTCTGATTTTCATTCCACTCTGGGTGAGTTTGAAAAAATCTGTGGAATTTTTTGAGGAATTTATATTTATTTATATATGTAAATAAATACATATATTTGTATCTATATCTAAATATCTGAAATATGACCATTGTGTTCTAGGTGTGTTTTTTCTTTCTAAACTGCTTAGTCTTCGGTGAGCAACTTTAATATGAATATAATCTTTTTTCAATTACGAGAATTTTTCTTTTTATTTCTTTGATTACTTCACAGTCCCCACTTCCCCCGCCAATTCTCTCTAAATGCTATTTCTGAAACTCATAGGTATAATCTTCTGGTTTCAACCCCACATGCCCCTTATTTTCCATTTTTTTCTTGTAGTTTTTCCACATGACAAACTACTGCAAAATTTAGCGACTTAAAATGACAACAATTTATTATGACTCATGATTCTGAGGCTGCCTTGGCTGTTTCTGCTCTATGTCACCTTGGCTGGGCTGCTTCAGGCACCTGCGTTCAGCTGGGAGCTCAGCTGGGGCACCAAGTTTCCCTTTCCTGTCGCTTCTTTCTCCACACAATGTCATCCTTCAGAGCCTCTCCACGTGGTCCTTTTCTCCAACAGGGTTGCCTGAATTTCCTCACAGCAGGGGAACTGGGTTTTGAGAGAGGGCATTCCAAGAGTTGAAGCCTCTGCATTAACCCTGCTAATGTTCCATTAGCCAAAGCGAGTGACATGGCCAAGCCCAAATTGGGAGGTTATTCTGCAAGGGTATAAAAGATGAGAAGTAGGTTTTGTTTTTTGTTTTTTTTTTTGAGACTAACAATGTAATAGTCGACCAAAGTTGGGGTGCTAGTGGCTCATCTTTTGAATGAAAGATTTTTACTGTCTCCTAGGAGGCTTAATTCCTACTGGAGACACTGCCCAGCTTGTCTTAGAGCCCTCATTCTCTGGTCCAGTCTTTGGGGGCTGGGTGCTCATCTTCTTAGCTGCCCTGCCTTCAGCTTCCCAATCGATCTTCCTGTTGAGTGCTTTGCAGTTCTCTTGCTCTTCTGCTGTCTTTTGTTTCTTAGACTCACAGTATCCCAGTCTTTACCTGCTTAGTTTTAGGCACCAGTGCCCTTTTTCTTAGGTGTACCCATCTTAATCTTCTGCTTTCCTTTTCTCTCCTACTGGAGACGTGATGCTGCTCTTTGAGAAATATAAATTGGGTTTTCTGCCAGAAATGTTTACCTTTATCTCTTTTTCCCTAAAAGGTGTGTCGCTAAATCTTTGTGATTTAAATAATCACGTTTAAATTACATTTAGCAAATATTTGCTGAATGGCCCAATTAATGTGGAAGAATTTCTTGGTTGGGCTTAATGAAGTCTGTTATTGCAAGCATTAGTGATGAGAGCACCCTGGGAGGTCACCTAGACTCTTAAACATTGCTTAAATCCATCAGTGGCTTCTCATGGCACTTAGGATGAAGTCCAGCTTTCTTGGTATTTCACAACTGACCTTTTCTGGTGTATAAAGTGCTTAATTCCCAGGCCCCATCTCCTGCTCTCACTGATTTCCTTTCATTTCCCACTGATCTTTATTCAGCTCTTCAAATGCGTCACTGTCTTTCAATTCTGGCCTTCTGTACATGGAATGCTTTCTACCCGGAAGGTTCTCCTCTCTTCAGTGGCTAGTTAACTCTAACACATCCTTTAGATCCAGTGTTTCTGAAACATCAGCCACGACTCCTCCACATTGCCAATGCTGGGTTCAAATCCTCTCTGACAGGCTGTAAAATCCTCCTGTTGGAGCACTTATCATACTGCATTGTAATTGCCTATGTCTTGTCTGGCTCACCCAACTGGCTATACATTCTAGGAGGTCAGAAACTGTGCTGGGTGTCCAGCCTGTAGCACATTATTGAATACCCTGTCTATTACTGTGCCTGGCACATGGAAGACATGTGGGAACTATTTTTTGAGTGAATGATTGCATTAATGTGCTTCAAATGACTTTTACAAAATTTGGAGAAAATTTTGCATTATTAGCCTACAATTAAACATCATGAGGAACCTCTGTAATGCCTTCATATACACTAGTTTCCCCTTACCCATGGTTTTGGTTTCCACAGTTTCGGTTACTCAGGGTACAGTACAATAAGATATTGAGAGAGAGAGAGAGTGCACATTCACATAACTTTTATTACAGTGTATAGTTATAATGGTTCTACTTTATTATTAGTTATTGTTGCTACTCTCTATCTGTGCCTAATTAGTAAAATAAATGTAATCATAAGTATGTATAGGAAAAAACATAGGGTTTGGTATTATCTGCAGCTTCAGGCATCTACTGGAAGTCTTGGAATCTACCCCCCAAAGATAAAGGGGGACTACTGTACTAGGGTTTGAAAAAAATTTCCAATTGAAACAGAGTACTGTTATTAAAAGAGTTTGAAAATCCTGGCCCGGGATCATGCTTTCATTTCACAGATACGGAATGGATTCCAGTACAGGAGTGACTTACAAAGTCTCACATCCTCATGAATAGCAGAGTTGAAGCTAAGCCATCATGCTGGCTCTTCTGTGACAGAGTCTTTTTGATGGGCTGGGTAGCATCACTGCCCCATCTGATGCCCCCTTTCCTGAGATGCAGCCTTCAATATTCAGCCCTTAGCCCTCAAGGTGGTACACACGCAACCCCCATTCCTCCCTGACCCAAGCAGGAATGAAGACTGTCTCTGAAAAAGTTCTTTTATCAGTGCTATTTTTTAGGATGCCTGATCACCAAACCTTAATGGGGCTTATCCAGAAAAAGCTCAGCACGCCTACCAATTTCATGTTAGTACTTTGAAGAAGGCTTGATCTCTCTGTAGCGGATTCCAAAGCCCTTGCTTTGAGGGTATCAGTCATCTCATGAATATCCCACCACAGATAAAGAGAGGCAGGAAGCATAGTTTTTCTCATCCTGTTTTATAGTTAAGGAAACTGAGACTAGAGGGGTGATGTGAGCTGCTCAAAATAGGACACAGACAATGAAGAGAAGAACCAGGAAAGAACAAGTACACATTAGCAATCTTCCTGGGGATTGCGCTGTTGTTAACTGATCAGCTTAACAAGTACCTGATGTTCCTCTTCACAAGAGGCAAACTACAACACAAATCAGCACAATACAAAAAAGTGCGTGTTTTTTGGAGGAGGCTGTTAAATGGGCCTTCCCCATTTTTGACATGCAGTGGGAAATATTGTTGGTGCTGTGCTGGGGTGCACCACTCAGGCCCCCTTCAGGACCAAGGCACTCAGTCCCCCAGCTTCCTTCACAGCAGCATCCTTCTCTGGGGACTCCTTTGGATGGAGGGAGCTTCCTTGTTCAAGTTTATGTCTCCTCTCTGCGGACAGCCTGCAGCCAGGACTGGTGGATGAAGGTGTACAGAGACCTGTTTCCGTGGCCTTTGTGTGGGAAAAATCCAGTTTGAGAGCTCCTTGGGAGATCAGCTGAAAGATGATGCAACTGCACAGAAATATGATTCTCCCTTTGCCCAATCCTGCTCTTTCACTTCTTTTTCTAAAATTTAATTCACTTTTTAAAATTGTACATATTTATAATGTACAGCATGTTGATATGATGTATGTATACATTTTGGAATGACTAAATCAAGCAAATCAACATGTGCACACACTTATCTTTCTTTGTAGTGGAAACATTTAAATTCTACTCCACAATTTGCAAATATACAATATGTTGTGGCCAGGCAGTATGGCATACACCTATAATCCCAGCACTCTGAGAGGCTGAGGCAGAAGGATCACTTGAGCCTAGAAGTTTGAGAACAGCTTGGGCAACACAGTGAGATCCATCTCTACAAAATATGCAGTACACTGTTATTAACTATAATCACCATGTTGTACCAAAGATCTTCTGAACTTATACTTCCCATCTAACTGAAATTTTGTATCCTTTGACCCACATCTCCCCATTCTTACCTTCCTTTTTAAGAATCCAAATATAAATGAGATTATGCAGTATTTGTCTTTCTGTGGCTGGCTTATTTCACTTGGAATACTGACTTGACCTCCAGGTTTACCCATGTTGTTGCAGATGACAGGATTTCCTTCTTTTTTAAGGCCAAATTGTAATCTGTTGTGTATAATGTTGTGTATAAATTTTCTTTACCCATTTATCCATTGATGGACACTTAGGTTGATTCTATATCTTGGCTATTGTGAATAATGCTGCAGTGAACATGGGAGTGCAGTATCTTTTCTACAAACCGATTTCATTTCCTTTGATTATATACCCAAACGTGGAATTCCTGGGTCATATGGTAGTTCTATTTTTAATATTTTGAGGGACCTCTGTACTGTGTTTTCATAATGTCTGCCTTAATTTACATTCCCACCAACCATGTGCCAATATTCTCTTTTTCCCACATCCTCTTCAACATTTGTTATCTCTTGTCTTTTTGATAATAACCATTCTAACAGGTGTGAAGCGACATCTCATTGTGGTTTTATTTTGCATTTCCTTGATGTTTAGTGATGTTGAATATTTAAAAAATATACTTGGCCATTTGTATAGAAATATCTTTTCAGGTTCTTTGCCAATTTTTAAATTGGGTTTTTTGTTTTCTTGCTATTGAGTTGTTTGAGTTCTTTACGTATTTTGGATATTAACCCCTTAGTTGAGTTCCTTATGTATTTTGGATATTAACCCCTTATCAGATGTGTGATTTACAAATATTGCCTCTGTTCTATAGATAGTCTGTTCACTCTGTTGGTTGTTTCTTTTGCTGTGCAGAAGCCTTTTCATTTTATGCAATCCCATTTGATATTTTTGCTTTTGTTACCTGTGCTTTTGGGTTCATATCCAAAAAAATCTTTGCCTAGATCAAAGTTATGAAGATTTCCCTTTGTGTTTCTCCTTTACTTCCTTATGTGAGTCATTCACCAATAAATATCCATATTAAAAATCTTTAATTCAGGGTCTATTTCCTAGGAACTCAAACCCCACAGAGGTGCCAATGAGCTGGGCATTGCCCACTCCCAAAAGGGAGTTTTTCTCTATTACCAAGTCAAGAGAAGAGGAGCTTCAAACAATCATAAAGAGGACACTGGATGTTGGAGACTGTAGAGGCTGAAACCTAACTTACAATTGGAAAAAACTTACAGGTGGGAGGCTTTCTGGGGTTGTCCCAGATGGCTGTGCAAGGAGATAGGAGTGGGAATGAGCTGCAGATGTGGCTCACTGGGAAATGAGACAGACTGTGGATATGCTGAAAGGTTCTTCACCCAAAATTCTGGCCTTGAGGGGTGAGGTGACCCCTCCCTTGTGGATTGCCTATACCAGGAGCTTAAGGCTTCATTCTACTGGTGAGCTCAAAGAGGCAATATCCATGCCAGCAATCTGCAGATGGGAGATCTCACCTCTGGCATTGAGGGTCTTTGAAGAATCTCCCAAAATGCCCCCACAGGACAAAGGAGCCAATAATTGGGTGTTTGCCATGACTAAGGGAATTAAAAAACCCAGAAAAGACCAGAGATAGCACCAGGCATAAAAGACACTTTGACTTTCTTCACTTCTCTCATTGCTCTTCTCTCTTTCCCACCCTCAGAAGAACCAGTAGCAACGTGGTCCATGGGAGGAAGAATCAAAAAGCCTGTGAGAACAGTTTAGTAGAAGGCAAAACAAACAAACAAAAACCTCAAACCTTCCAAAGACTTTCCCACCATGGACTTTCTCTCTGGTCTCTAATACAGTGGTCTGGGGCGAAAAGTTTTAAATTGGATGAGAGATTTAAGTTTTGGTATTCAAATTGATTGGCCTTTTTTGCCCCTGAACATAAGGATGCTTGCTAATTCCTGAGACTGGTTGAGAAAGTGCTGGCATCTCCCTGGGATTTTATTCAGGGACAGAGATGTATTGTTTGGCTGAGCAAGTATAGAAGAGATCAGATGAAAAGGGAAAAATTTGTTTCTTCTTGCACTGTGCTAAGTCCAGCTCATTCAATAAATAGGTTACACTTAGCTTTCTTTTTTTATTAATTTCCTGCTGAGACCTTACTGAGAGCAGAAGGCAGTGTGTAAATCTTTTGATCTGTAAAGTTTTTTATTTTTATTTTTTTTTTGAGACAAAGTCTCAACTCTGTTGCCCAGGCTGGAGTTCAGTGGTAAGATCATGGCTCACTATAGCCTCGACCTCTCTGGGCTCAGGTGATCCTCTCACTTCAGCCTCCCAAGTAGCTGGGACTACAAGCATGTGCCATCACACCCAGCTAATTTTTGTATTTTTTTGCAGAGAAAAGGACCCCCTTTGTTGCCCAGGCTGGTCTTGAACTCCTGGGCTCAAGTGATATGCCTGCTTCGCCCTCCCTAAGTGCTGGGATTACAGACATGAGCTACCACACCTGGCCTGGAAGTTTTTCTTAGAGCGGTATTTTCCCAAGTGTGTTCCATATTCTGTCCAACGTTAATGAATATTAATTGAAAAGAGTTCTCTAGGGCCAAATAATCTGGGAACCACTGGGCTAAATAAAGTTCAGTGGTGTTCTTATTGCAGGCCTTCTCAGAGCTTTTAAAACAATAACATGCACTGAGATTCTAGGATAGGCTTCTCAAGAGAAACTCATTTGATAGCTAAATCATTTATCTGGTGAGTGTCTTTTAGACCCACTATTTCTGGAAACACTTAGGAATAGATAAATTTTAGGATCATTCTGTTTCCTGTACTACTAGGTTAGAGCAGTGCTTTCTGGTAACAATTGTGTTGCGGTATAATATGTTGAGACATTGCCTTAGTCAGTTTGGCCTGCTGTAATAAAAATACCATAGACTTAAATAAAGACTATTTATGTCTCACAGTGGAGACTGGGAAGTCCAAGATCAAAGTGCTGGAAGATTCTGTGTCTGGTGAGGGCTTGCTTCATGGTTCCTAGATGGCCGTCTTCTCATGGTGGCCATGTCGTCACAGGGTAGAAACAGATCTCTGGGCCATTCATCCCTTTATAAGGAAACCAGTCCCATTATGTGGGCTCCAGCATAATGACCTAATTATCTCTCAAGGGTCCCACTTCCGTATACTATCGCATTGGGGATTAGATTTCAACATATAGACTTTGGGGGGACATAAATATTAAGTCCACAATAAATATTAACTGAGAGTTTCAGCTTTGTTTATCAGCCTAGGCACTTCATGTAGCAATTTTGAGTCTGCATTTTTTTTTTTTTTGAGATGAAGTCTTGTACTGTTGCCCAGGCTGGAGTGCAGTGGCGTGATCTTAGCTCACTGCAACCTCCGCCTCCTGGGTTCAAGTGATTCTCCTGCCTCAGCCTCCTGAGAAGCTGGGATTACAGGTGCCTGCCACCATGCCTGGCTAATTTTTTTGTATTTTAGTAGAGACAGAGTTTCACTATGTTGGCCAGGCTGGTCTTGAACTCCTGACCTCAGGTGATCCGCCTGCCTTGGCCTCCCAAAGTGCTGGGATTACAGCTGTGAGCCATGGCGCCCAGCCTGGATCTGCTCTTAACTCACCAGCCTGGGCATGGGGGCTTCCTCTAGGAGGGGCCACCATCCATGTTCTCAAGGTGTGCACTGCAGAGGATTCACGGAAACATGGGTGGGAAGGGCACCACTGGAGCTGGGCAATGCATAGCCCATTTCCCTGTGAGGCTGTCCTGTGGAGCTGTTTCTGGAAACTGAGCAAGTCCTGCTTGCTCTTTCTCCCCTGAACATGTTCAGGGATTCTCTGAGCCCTCCACCAACCTCTGTGCCATCTTCTCCTCTTCTGATCCTCTTCCTGGAGTACACTGTCTAGGTTCTGAAGTATAGTCATGTGGCCTTTTAGTACTGACTTATTTGTGGTTGGGGGAGTGGCTTAAGGAATTAAGCAATTTTGTTACAGGGCTCCAAACTTTCTGGATTCAGGCAAGGACAGAGGCAAAACTCAAAGAAAGTTGAGCATCGATGAGAACACGCTGTCATTGAGACACAGAGCCTGGAGGAGAAAATATCACATGGCTAAAAAATTCTTTTCAAGTTTCAACTTCTTATTTCCTCAATTCCACACATGCAACTTTTGCCCTTGCTGTAGAAATCCTACTGATTTATAATAAGCCTCTGCTCATGGAAGGGAAATGAGAGCGCAGAGCACACGGCTGAGTTATTGTGCTTGTTGATAATATTTAGTGCAGCTTGGGAAATTACTGCGGAAAGCTTGCTGCCCCCTATGCGCTTTGGGGAACTTCCCAGAAGCCAGAGCTTGCAGCGCCACCGCCCTCATCCCTCCACGTGTTGTCTCACTTCCTCTGAGGTGCTCCGGCGCTCTCAGAGCGCAGGGAGCCCTAGGCTGAAGAAATTATGGCGTGATTTAGAGGAGTTAAAAAAAACTATCCTGCGTGCATCTCAACAGAAGAACAGGGTACCTACAAAGCAAGCAACATCCCTTTGCCTTAGATTTTGCTCCAACACAGAACCACCATCTCCAGAAGCTTAAATGAGCAAGGTCATGACCCTAGAATTCTGTGTTCAGCTAAATTGTTATTGATGTGTGAAGCCATAAAAACAAACAAACAAACAAACAAAAACACTTAGGGAAACGCAATGGTGTAGAAAGTATGCCGCTTTCTTATGCTTCCTGGAAACTGTTCTAAGATGTATTTCACCTGACTCATAGATAAATCAAGGATTCAAAAGCCGATGATGGTATCGTATGCTGCAAAGAAAATCTGATTATGTTCCAAAGAGTACAAATGGCACAAGCCACATTTTCTGACTGGGATATGATAGAATGAAAAAATTATAAAAACCTGTAACAAATGGAATAAGAAATAATTTTCAGAAATGACTATGGAAGGAAGATGAAATAAAAATTCAGTTATAATATGTTTAGAAAATGAGAAATTTGATACAATGAAAACATTTCATAATTTAATCATCGTCATTTCATTTGTGAATGAGAAGTTATTATCTAGGGTGACTCTTGTGCCAGAGGAAAGGACAGGATCAGGACAGGAGTCTGCACCCTCCCTTGAGAAAAGGGACACCCACCAAGAGAAACTTTCATCACCTGAACTGCCCCGCAACAGGGAGGCTTCAGGGAGGGTAGATGAACTCATTTGATAGGAGTTAGCTGAGGAGGAAGAAAAAGAACATTAGTAATGTCTCCCTTGAGAGGAAAGAGACAAACTGGAATCAAAGGCAGCAGCAAGATACAGCCAAAGAAATGCCAGCGGGCCTTGAGATTCAAAGACTCCATCTCGAAATCCCTATGCTGGGCTAACTCACCTGAATGGTAAGTGACCTTCCAAGAAGCAGACCCACCTGGTGGAGCAGCTGAATTGGCCCTTGGCTGCTGCCTATGCCACCTGCTTAAGGACATTGCCAAAGTCTACCTGAGGTCCCTTTGGAGCGCCTCTGACCCATTCCTGAATCTAAGGGTAGGAAGCCCAGGGGAGTGTGTGAAATGCTGCTACAGAGGCCCCAGGTCTCTGCCAGTCCTCTCCTGGCAGGCTGCTGTCTGCAGCTCTACCTGCTCTAACCAGCACCTCATCCCAAAGCTCACTGGGCAGGGGCCATGTTTCCGCCCTACACCATGTTATCCCTTTTCTCACCCTGCACCCACAAGACTGTGCTAATCTGGCAGTGGCTACGGTATGCAGGGCTGGCAAGAGCCCCTACAGGGAGGCTTGGGCAGTCTTGCAAGATGAAATACTGAGGCTGTTTGATGCTCAGAATGTGGCCATGTCTCCCGAGGGAAGTGCTGCTGCCTGCAGGGTCGCATAGAGAGGAGAGCACCCTGGCTTCCTGAGACACACTCACACAGGCAGAGCTCCTAGTTGCACCAGATGTGCCAGCTGTAGAAGTGCATGGTCTCTGGGCACATGAGGCCAGAACCTCAGCCCCAATCTAACCTGTCACTGCTGTTGCTGTTGCTGTAGCAGCCTGGGGGGCCCTCATGGGTAAGCCTGCTGGAATGTGGACTTTGGGCATGGAAGGACCCCTCCCCCACCACCAATACCTATTGCATCTTCCTCTGGGCCTGTCTTCTCATCATTCTGCTCAACTGCAGCCTCACACCCTGACCTTGACCTGTCAAATGCCAGCCAGAGAGTGAATTTTCTACACCAACCTGTCCTTTAAATTCTTCAGGACCTGTCCACTTTCCCTTTGGATAATGTCCAAATGTCTTAAGGAGACACTATAGGATTCAATACTTCTCTGCTAGGCTTCTTTTGCTCCTTTTTTCTTTCAAACTCCATTCTCCAGCCTCCCGAATGACTTGGTGTTTCTCTCTTTAGGCTGTTGCTCTCATGCTCTTCTCACTTTCTGATCAGACATCTTTAGCCCTCTTCATCTGGGTGAGTAGCATCGTCTCATCCTACAGGTCTCTGCTGAGGCATGGCTCAAGGTGCAGAGCCTTCCCTGGTTCCCGAAACCTGGCTCAGATGCCCCTTCTGAGCTCTGGAAGCATTTTCTACCTCCCCTATCTCAGCAGATACCACATTAAATTGTATTTTCTTATTTTCTGGTTACACCGTTCCCCCTCGACCATAAATTCTACTTAGGCAAAAGCTTTCTTTTAATTGTTTTTTTGTTGTTGTTTATTTACTTGTTTAGATCCTGCTGCCTATTCATGTACCTGGCACACAACTGTTGTTCAACAAATACTTGCAGAATCACAGGATTAATAGCAGATGCACTGCAGTCCTCCTGGCTCCTGCACTTGCCACAGGAGAATGGCAGTACTTTGGAGGTTGCCCATCTCCTGTGGGCTCCAGAAACCTCAGGTGAGGGAGCTGGCTCCATAGAGAGTTCATGCTTACCTGGGTAAGCTTTGTCCCAGGACCTCCAGACGCATGTATGGAGAGGGGAGGGTATGTAAGTGGCAGGAGTGTCCTCTAGGTGAGCCCTGCTTTGCAGAGTTTCTTAGTGTGGCTGCACCCACGCATCCAAATTCCTTTGGTGTATAATTGAAACGCACAGCTGGGCCATTCTCAAAATAATAGAGGCTCCCCCAGGGAGTTTGTATTTCTGAACTCGACAAGATGAAGAGGGACCGAACAGAACATTGAAAGATTTGCCTCCTTTTGTTTCGTTTGTGTCAGAACTCCAAGGTGGTGGGAAATTTGGACTGTGCCAAGGGGAATCCAGGTTGGAGAAATTAATCCCTGCCATGTTTTAAGTTACACATGCCCAGCAAATACTCAAAGAAATGGGTAGCAGAGAATCTTAGCATTTTATCAATTTCCATTCCCCCACACCCCTAGGACACACAGCTTAATTACATTTCTGTCCTTGCAGGTCTGTGAGAGTTTTGGCAAGTGGAAGGTGGATGGCAGTGATGTGTGTCATTTCCAGGCCTGGCAACCTAAATACCTCCTCTGTGCATTCCACGGTGGCTCATTCTTGCCTTGTTGGCCAGCCAGATGCAGAAGATCCAGCATAGAGTTCCAAAGCCTCCAGGATTCCAAGGCATCTAGGAGATAGAGGAGCAACTAAATGCAGGGTGCCTGGGCCCCTGGAGGACTGCATGGAGCAGAACAACTCTTCCTCATCCCCCCTTTCTGCTGATTCCGTGTGGTCTGTGATGTGAGCAAGAAAAAGACCTTTGCTGTATTAAGCCACTGAGGCTGGCGGCTGGGGTGGGTGGGGGGTTATTTGTGAAAGCACTAAGCCTGCTCAAACTCAACAACCTTCTAGCCTGTGTCATCCCCAGGTTATCACTCCTGTCCTAGCTTCCTGAATTTCCTATTATATTCCAGGTACTTAGAATACAAGCCTAAGAGCAGAGTCCCTTGTACAGGAGAGTTGCAGATACTGGAAGTTCAAGGACAAAGGAGGGGTCTTGAATATTTGCTAGCCACTTTGCTCCTCTGTGACTATGATGTGCCAAGGCCTGCAGGAATTTTCTCCCCAGAGCACAGCTGCAGTGTGCATCAGCATGGCTGCATGATACCTATTATTTCTACATGGGCTGGCCTCTAAAGAAGAAAAAAGCTCTGCAGTGGCTGGGCCCTCACATTCCTGCAGAAGCCACATGTCCTTGCACATCTGAGCACTAGAGACCATGAGTAGGGGACAAACCTACCCATGTTCTGGAACACTGACTACTGTCTAAGCCACAAAGGAGAGTAACATGTTCTTCTGCATTGTGTTGAAGAATTTCTGCTTGAGAGTCAGAGAGATGTGGGCTTGAAGCCCTACTGTGGTATTTCAGTGACTTTGGGCAATCTTAATATCTCTAAGTACCATTCACACACACACACACACACACACACGCACGCACGCACACACATCTTTATAGATCTCACTCTATATACAGATAGAAATATCTATGTAGACTTCTATATAGAGACAGAAAAATTAAGATGCTTGTTGCACGGTCCTCAGTATTGTGCCTAATGCACAATATGTCCTAAATACATGGTAGCTTTGTCCATGGTAAGAACTACAATAATAACAAGCATTCACTGAGTGCTCCTGCCATGCTTTACCTGTATTAACCACTAACCGTGTTAACTCATCTAACCCTTACAACTAGCGTATGAATTAAGTTCTATTATTAGCTCCATCTTATAGATGGGGAAACAGAAGCAGAGTAGTGTCCATTCTACAGGTCATACAGCTATATACAGCTAGAGTGTCCGAGCAGACACTCCAGCTCACACAATCAAGAGTCCCTGCTCTTGACTGTTAGGTCAAGAAGATGATGAGGAGAAGAAGGATGACAATGTTGATGATGCCATCCTTTGGCTTCCTCAGCTTTTCTGTGGAGCCCTTTGCTCACAAGAAAATCTAACTGTGCTATGTCCTTTCCTTTCTCTCTGGCCTCCGTGGCTCCTACCGTGGGCAGCTGAAGGGTCTTCAGATGCAAGGGAGGGGGCTCTTTTGGCTCAACCCAAAGTGTCTGGCACTGGTAGCCCTGCACGTTCTAGCAGTGGCACCAAGGACCCGGCGTGGGCAGGAGCACGCAGGCTGGAGCTGCCCTGTAGGAGGCACTGCTTCTCCTGCCCTCATCGCCCACTTCTCCTATTAGGAAATGCCTGAGGAGGTGCCACTCCTGCGGGGCTGTTTTGAAGGGGCTGGAAGTCTTTTCTGTCACCACCTTTACCTACCTGTCATCTGTGAACGTGACTGGAGATGCCAAGGCTTTCCTCGACTTCTGCCACTGCCCATGGTTCATGGCCCTCTCACCCTGCTCCTCTTGTAAGCAGTGCCAGCAACTTGACATTCTGAGTGAAGCCTTGCTAGGGCCCATCCAGCACTTCTAATGGTGCTGTCAACTGGAGTCTTGTTCGTCCTTGCCCTCAGTGAAGGCCACTTTGCATGTGGACCCTGACGCTGGACACATGATGGTCAGCTCCAGTAGGCTTTGGCCTGTCAACTCATCCCAGGAGGCCGGGGGTGTCCATCTGGGATTGTGGTATTGTCTCTGTCTCAGCATGATCAGCACATGCCTCCTGGGGGATTAGCCATCACTCTTCCTTAGTGCTATGGTCAGTCCAGCTGGGAGGCTATTGCTGGAGCAGTATATGCCAGGGGCCCCAGGTAGCCCTAACCACTGCTAAGAACTGGGTTGAGTCCCCTCAACATCTGTAAGTTAAAACCCTAACCCCCTGGCTGGGCGCGGTGGCTCACATCTGTAATCCCAGCACTTTGGGAGATGGAGGTGGTGGATCATCTGAGATCAGGAGTTCGAGACCAACCTGGCCTACATGGGGAAACCCTGTCTGTACTAAAAATACAAAAAATTAGCTGGGCGTGGTGGCACGCACCTGTAATCCCAGCTACTTGGGAAGCTGAGGCAAGAGAATCTCTTGAACCTAGGAGGCAGAGGTTGCAGTGAACTGAGATCATGCCATTGCACTCCAGTCTGGGCAACAAGAACAAAACTCCGTCTCAAAAAAACACACACAAAAAAGCAAAAAAACAAAAAACAAAAATAAAAAAAGCAAAACAAAGAAAAAACCCTAACCCCCAATGTGACTGTATTTGGAGATAGGGCTTTTATGGAAGTAATGAAAGTTAAATGAGGTTATAGGATAGCGGCCTAATCCAATAAGATTAGTGGCCTTATTAGAAGAAGAGATACCAGACTTCTCTCTCTCTCTGTCTCTCTTTCTCTCTCTCTCTCTCTCTCTCTCTCTCCATGCACATGTATGGAAGAAAGGCCATGTGAGCACAGTGAGAAGGTGGCCATCTGTAAGCCAGGAAGAGAGCTCTCATCAGAACCTGACCATGCTGACACTCTGATCTTGACCTTTCAGCCTCCAGAACTGTGAGAAATAAATGTTTGTGGTTTAAGCCATCTACTCCATGGTATTTTGTTATGACAGTCCAGGTTGACTAAGACAGACACCTTAGTCTTCTGCACCAGAAATTGAGTGTTTTTTCACATGTGGGCCTTATGGTAAGAGCTTCACTATTCTGACCTTATTTACTTCCAACCCTTGGTCCCAGGCTTATCTGCTGATACCAAGAGCCTCTCCACTGTGCCTGTCACTGTGCCATGAACCATGCTTTCTGCTGCATACACCTTTGTACTCACACTGAAAGTGAGCCACTGAAACTTCTACTGAGCTAGCCCTCATCTCCACTCCTGTGACCAATGGCAGAAGCATAAATTCCACACTGTCAGTGGCATTTGAGATTCCTCTGAATGCATTTTCATGTATTATTGAGCACTGGCTATTTGTGCAGGCATTGTCGTTGGTCCCAGTGAGGCAGCCATGAATGAGAGGAATGAGGTCCCCGATTTCATAGAATCTATGTCCTAGTGAAAGAGACACACAGGCACATGCACACAAACCTGTGAACAGGATAACCTGGATAGTGTTAAGTGCTAAGAAGAAAAAGAATTCAGGTTGTTGGATAAGCTCTCCCTAAAGAGGTGACATTTGAGTTATCATCTGAATAAAAATAAGGTGCCAGCTGAGCCAGAGTCTGGAGAAAATGGTCTGAGGGAGGTAACAGCAACTGCAAATCCTTGAAGGCGGGAATGAGCTGGAGAAGCTTGGGGCTGACCTCAGCCACGGTGTCAGCAGGGATCCTGCCTTGGCTGTGCTCCTGCAGGACCTGGGATTGAAGACTTGATCTGCTAGCTCCAGCTGCTGCCAACCTTCCAAATGGATGCTGAGTAACGACAACTTCCCCCAACCTAGGCTCTGTGGAGGTTAAGAGTCCAAGTGCAAGGATGGGAACCCCACAGCAGTCACAGGCATTGGGCTCAAATACATGGCCTCAGGCAGACCCTGTGTTCTTTCTAGGGCTCTGAAAGATATCTGCTCAAAGAGATGATGAGATAAGGATAACTTCAAAGTAATGGAAGAACTAACTAGTCTCATCTCTGAGGAGATAATTAATGAGTTGGGCTATCACTTCTTGTCTTTTGTATTGATCAGTATCAATATCTGGAGCATGCAGAGCCAAAGGTGAGAGTTGAGACCATGCCTCTAAGGAATTTCCATGAATACCTGAGTTTTTCAAAGCATGAAGTGGGCAGATTGCCAGTCTGTGTCTCCTGGCTTCAGCCAGCTTCATATACTGTGTTCAGAGGGCTCCCTGTGAGGGGGTCTCTGAGCCAAGGAGAGTGCCATCTTGCATTGCATTATATTTCAGAAGACATTATAGAAGGTTATGGGGGAGCTGAAGATACTTGCTCTCCCCACTTTGATATCTGCTTCACCAGAATGACATGGGCCACAGGGGACCTGCAGGAGCTTTGCCCCGCCTCCCCTACAGCTAATCTCTAGCAGGACAGATTTTTTCCTGCCTGGCTCCCTGCTTCCTCACTTAAGGTCCATCTCCCTAGAAGAACAGCATTGCAGTCCTGAGCCCAGCAAGATCTGAGCATCACCATCTTCCTTTGGTTTTGTATGAACCAAACACCGTTGAGGGGTCTTAGAGAGGCAGGTTTGAATTTCATCTCTGTAATTAACTGTGTGACTTTGAGCATGTCACTAAACTTCTCAGAACCTCAGTTTTTTTTTTTTCTGTCAATTAGGTTGCTATGAGGATTCCAAGAAACTGAGTGTGTAAGCCACCTAGTTCTGAACCTCACACAGAGCAGACTAGATGTCCAGGTCTTCTCAACACTCTGCTTGCACTGCTAGGACAGGCCACTGCCACGACACCTGGCCCTCCCTGCTAACTGCTGAGAACACCTTCAGTTTCCCTCAAAAGAACCATCAGCCTGATCAGAATGTGGATTACCTACATCCTGTGGATCTGATGATGGGCCACCCTAGCTGTTTCCTACAGAACACCAGACTCACCTCTCCCTCCTCACTGCTTGGTACTTGCTGCTTGCTGTCTGGGGAGAATTCTGCTGCCAAATCAGCTGGCTTCCCTGACAGCTCAGTCCTGTGACTTGGGGTCAGAAATCTCTGGATCCTACCCTTCAATGCAAGGTGAAGTTGGGGCTGAAAGTTAGTGGGATCATGGCCCAGCATGCCTCTTCTGAGGCCAATGGCTATCACTAGCGCACGGGGCTGCCTAAATATCGGGAGGGCTGGCTTTCCCCCATTGTCTGAGAAGATCAGAGTGAGCCTGTCGCCTATGGTGACATTCAGGGCTGGCAATTACCCAACACACTGCCCATCCACCCCCAACTTTAACGCAGAAATCAGGTGTGTTGTGAAAGGGCTTGAAAAGGCTTTAATTTTCTCAGCTGTCTAAGGCTCCGTGCTGATTGAAGTGTCCCTGGTACAAAAGCAGTGTCCATCATGTGCTTTGCTGAATACAACACTTAGCCCAGCTGTGCAATCTTCCCCGACAGCTTCACAATGGGGCTCAATCAAGCCTCAGAAGTTCTCCTCCCACCCACTCAGACCGCCTCCCCCTCCCCTCTCTCTAGGAGAAAGAACGAGTGCATTGTTGGGCGTTTCTCTGATGCTTATCACTGGACCACAGGAGGTATCCGCAGATGCCTGTGACCCTTGAGGCACTGCTCCTTAACCTTGCAACCCAGTTTTCTTGGCAGAAGGGTTAATAGGCCATCACGTTCTCCACTTGGTTCCCCCTTCTAGCAACTGAAGCAGCAAAGCTGTTCCTTTGGCAGATTTGGAAATTTCTGCTTAAACTGCCAACCTGTGAGAGGTTGAGGTCTATTAAGTCTTTCCGCTAGTCCCAGAGCTGAGTAAGCTGGGACTCAGCTCCACAGGTATTAACTGGCAATCTGAACTTAAATGACCCACTTAGATAAACAGCTCCATAGAGGCAGGCTTGCTTTGCAGGCTGCCACAAGTAAATCAAGGAAGCACTGAGCTGGCATACGTTGGACTTCCCTCAGTGGTGTTGGGGGAGTCACCAAAGGAAGTGCTTAAAAGAAAAGAGGTTTCACAATGGATCCAGGTGGGCAAATGTGGTTGTTGGGATGTTTCACTTTCTGCAAGAGTTGTCACAACTTTGGTGGCTTTGCTGCAAGGCAGGTCACTGTGCAGCTAGAGGAAGCTGGTATGGGGGCTTGGAGGACTAACTGAACTTCAGAGCAGTTATCTGAAGTGGGGTAGCCAGTTGTCCACTCTAGAGACATGCAAAGGGGCGGGAGGACTCTGGCCCCACCCTGCGAAAGCATCCAGGTCAGACGGTGTGTCTGGTACATGCAAGATGCCAGCCAGGAGTTGAAGTGGGGCAGGGTCCAGCTCACACAGGTGAAGGGGTGCTAACTTTTCAGTGGGATGTAGAAGTCCAAGACACGAGGGCAGTTGTCCCAAGCTGGGTTGCTGGACACACAGTCAGATGGACTGAATCTTCAAGGTGTGGAGCAGCTCTGGGATGGGGGGGCTCACAGAACCCAGAGCCCCCAAGGCTGGTGGAGTCCAGCTTCCTGATAACTGGGTGTGTTGAAGAGCATTCACCAGGAGGCTTTGTGAGGCTGATGCTGCAGGCCAAAGAGGGTCTGGGAAGGTTGAGTCTGGCAAAAGAGAAAGCTGTCTTCGTTGTATAGAAAAAATATACAATGTCCAGTTGGTACTTCCTTGGAGAATAATCTCATACCTTCATGATTGATGTGATGGTAGCCATTTACATGTGTTACTAGCATCCAGAAATTGGTTTGCAGTATAGATAATTAATCCTTAGAGGCTAATATTGTTTCTTATCATTCACTTTCCTTTTTACATTTTGGCTGTGTCCTGGGGTCACGCCTAACTCTACTGCCTGCAGTGTCTTGGTATTAAATGTGCCTCTTTCTCCTCTATTTTGTCATTTATCTTCACTCTGTGTTCTGGTTATTACTGAAGCATAACAGACTACCTCAAAACTCAATGACTTAAAACGGCAACAATTTACATATGTGTAGTATACTATAATAGACATATTGTGACTATAAGAATAATGACAGCCATAAGGCCCTTGCAAATATCTTGTAGGGCCTACCCTATGTGTCACTTAGCAGTGTCATGCAGCCTAGACTGGAGATTTCCAGGAGGCAAGACCACCTCAGCACAGATCCAACTATCATGAACCTTAAAATAAAGCTTCCCCTTACAAGAACAGCTTAGATTCCCTTTATGAAAGAAATACCTGGTAACTGACTTGGATTGAACACAGGAATAAGAAATGGGGAAGAATCTCCCAAACTCTGAAATTAGTTTCTGTATGGAGAATCTCTCAGTCTGGAGGTCCTCGGACCCCTGACTGTATCTGGCCTGTGCCACTGGCCTGTTCCTGTTGTTCATGCTGTGAGAGCACTGCCAGCATAAACTGTGTGAACATCAGACACTGCCTAAGACTCATCTTTGTTGTGAATGAGACCCAAGGGGAAAAGTCACCCTGAGAAAGCTGGTTAACTGGGACCGCCTGAGGCCTCCAAACAAATGCAACAAATGGGAATTTAGAGAGGATGCAGCCTGCATGGATTTTCTTTGCTCTATGATATCTAAGGTCTCAGCTGGAAAGACTTGAATAGTTAGCGGGGGGGTGATTAGAATGGCTGGGGGCTGGAATTCTCTGGAAACCTCTCCATGTCTGACACTTGGGCAGAAATGGCTGGAGGCTGGGCTCAGCTGGGGCTTGACTGTGCCCATGTGAGGCCCATCCAGTGTGGCATCTCAGGACACCAGGAATAAGTGCTTGAGCACAGCCACTATGGCCTAGCCTTGGAAGTCACCCTGCACCCCTGCTGTCATAATCTATTGGTTGAAGTGGTCACAAGCCTGCAATTTCAAGGGAATTGAACATAGGAAGGAGTATCCCAGAATTTGTAGCCATAATTCAAAACAACAGTGCCCCTGGAGTTTGCTTGATTGTTGTTCCTTCTAATGCTTCACCTGCTTTCTTTCCTCTCATCCTGCTCAAGCAGACTGCTTCCCTACTTGGGAAGAACATTGGATCTTGTCTGTCTGAGCCTTGATGCTTATTTTTAGTTTGTGCTGGCTGCATGGTTGCAAGGATTGTGTTATTCTTTATCTACCCCTCAGGAAAACCTGTCATTGGGCTGGGCTTGTAGCAATGACACCAGAAAAATCATGCCCAAGGAACCATTATTCATGGTGTTTCTAAGATGCTTCTGGTTCCTTCTCTTCTCCCAGTGGTTTTTATCAAAGGTCATTCTTTTATAGGAAATAGATACTACAGAATAAATCATTAAGTCTTAAGTGTCTCAACTTTCCCTGCACTCCAATAGCTCTTCTCCATGCAAACCCATACAAATGAGATTTTTTCCCATTATTGTAACATTTTTTTTCTGATTGTTTGAAAGTGTGCTAGTTTAAGCTCCTAGACTAGATTTAGAATTACTACGGATAGGGGAACATGTGTTGCAGTTTGTTTATACCCATCCCACCAACCTCAGTGTCAGTAAAGCAGTCTGCCTCAACCTTTATATATATACTAGAGATGAAGTCTCGCTCTGTCACCCAGGCTGGTGTACGGTTGTACCATCCTAGCTAACTGTAGTCTTGAACTCATGGGCTCAAGCACTCCACCTGCCTCAGCACCCCCAGAGTAGCTAGGATTACAGGCTAGCTATTCTGCCTGCACTCGGTAGAGTAGAGTACCCCCAGGGTATGGTAGGTAAGCCTGAATATGATCTTTCTAAATTAATTAATATCTATTATCTTGAATATGACCTTTCTAATTAATTCATATCTATTATTAACAAAAACTGGGCTGGGTGCAGTGGCTCACGCCTGTAATCCCAGCACTTTGGGAGGCTGAGGCAGGCAGATCACAAGGTCAGGAGACTGAGACCATCCTGGCTAACATGGTGAAACCCCGTCTCTACTAAAAATACAAAAAAATTAGCTGGGCTTGGTGGCGGGCACCTGTAGTCCCAGGTACTGGGGAGGCTGAGGCAGGAGAATGGCATGAACCTGGGAGGCAGAGCTTGCAGTGAGCCAAGATCGTGCCACTGCACTCCAGCCTGGGTGACAGAGCGAGACTCAAACAAACAAACAAAACAAAAAAACCAAAAACTGAAGTTTTTGTTGTGTTTGTATGTTTGATTGGTCTGACAAAGTAAGTACACAGTATAGGTGGAAATGGGTGACCGAGAAGGAGGCCATGAGTCTCTTTTCAAAAAGGACAGTCACGTGTGAAAGCAATGCAGATTGATGATTTGTGGCATTATTTATGGGACACCTCCATGGTTTTTGTCTGCTGTAGGAGGAAAGTAAAGAGCACTGGACTTGGTGTCAGAAGATGAGGGTGGAATCTCAACTCTGCCACTAATTAGCCCCACGACCTTGGTAAGTTATATCCTTATTCTGAAATCCAGTCTCCTTAGCTATAGAACGATAGTAACAGAACCTATTATTTAGAATTGGGATTAAATAGTGCCAGTTTTTTATGGTGAGAATTAAGTAAAAGAATGTATGTGAAAGTGTTTGTATAATGCAGTTATAAAGTCTTATGATTTCATTAGTGGACTAAGTCAGGGTTTGTTAACTCAAGGAGCCAGACTGGTGATTTAAATGGCTCAAGAAGCTGGACCTAAAGAGGAGAGTGGTGCAGGTGCCGGGTCAGAGGAGGGATGCTCCTACTCACCTGCTGCTGGCTGTTGCCAAGTTCAGGCCCAGGTGACCAGATTAGATTTTCTCAGAGAATCCAGAAATGTAGACTTTTATGAGGATGCTTCTGATTTTAAGGATTTGTTATTGATTCACAAATGAATACATACACACATGTAAAGAAAACAAACAAAATGCTCTGTAACTCTTCTTTGTCCTACACACTGCCAATTAAAGATTTGGTTCAAAAGTGATGCTGAGGGCATAAAGATGGCATAAAATCATTTCTCCTGCTCCTCTCTGCTAAGTACAACTACAACCCTGGAAACAGTGCAAGAAGTAACCAAAAGAGAACTCTGAATAGAGGAAGGTGGGCTAGTTGGGGGCCCCAGGACAGGAGGAACAAC
This sequence comes from Homo sapiens, assembly GCF_000001405.40. Lineage (NCBI taxonomy): Eukaryota > Metazoa > Chordata > Mammalia > Primates > Hominidae > Homo > Homo sapiens. Next base: position 83,904,599 of record NC_000010.11, on the reverse strand, counting down.
ATAGTGGTGGGCATCTTGACACTCCCCACCCAATGACAGAATGAGACACGGGCCAGGTGTCTCTCAACCCCTAACCTAACAACAGAAGGTGAGCTAGTTAGGGTCATTCACAAAATATCCTTAAGAATGGCTAGAGGAATTTCTTCAAAACGAAAGGAAATTATAAAAGAAAGAATTTCAGAGCATTAAGAAAGAAGAAAGAACAATAGAAAGGACAGATACTGTATATGGATAAATCAAATAGACTGTCCTCACAAGTTTCATAAGTCATATGCAAGATTGAAATAAAAATTACAATCCTAATGCTCAAGACAATGATATTTAAAAGTGGGGTAGATGAAGTGACCTAAATGGAAGTAAGGTTTCCATACTTCAATTCAAGTGGCAAAACACTGACACCAGTAGACTGTGATAAGTCATAAGTGTATATTGTAACACACAGAGCAACCACAACAAAACTACACACACCAATATACATGAAACACAATAAATGAGTCAAGAATGACTTCTAAAAAGTGTTCAAGCAACTCACAGAAAGGCAAGAACTGAAAAAGAGAGAAAAATCAGAGGGCAAATAAGTATGTGAAATAAGTTCAGCATCATTAAACATCACGGAAATTTAAATGGAAACCGAAATGCACACCTATAGATGCCTAAAATAAGAAATAGTGACAATGCCAAATGCTGATGAGGAAGAAGAGATGCTTGATGACTCATACACTGCTGGTGGGAATGTTAAATGTTACATCCACTCTGAAAACAGTTCCACAGTTTTTTATAGAACTCAACATGCAATTACCACATGACCCAACAATTGCACTTTGGGGCATTTATCTCAGAAAAATGAAAATTTTTCTTGTACAAAAGTCTGTACACAAAGATTTGTAATGACCTTATTTTTAATATCCCCAAATGCAAAACAATCAAGGTATAGTTCTATAGGTGAATGGTTAAACAAACTGTGGTATGTTTATACCATAGAATACTTCTTAACAACAAAAAGGAGGATATTATTGATGCATACACCAACTTGGATGAAACTCTAGGGAATTTTCCTAAGTGAAAAAGTGCCAATCATTAAAGGTTGCAGGGGGCAGGTGTGAGAGAGGAGAAAAAGGCAACACAAGGAATACTTGCGGCGACAGAACTATTCGATTTGTTGACTATGCTGGTAGATATATGAACTTACACATGTGATAACATTTTGTAGAAATACATGTGCGCACACACACACACACACACACACAAGTAAAGCTCGGAAAATCTAAGTAAGATCAGTAGATTATATTAAAATGAATATTCTGGTTGTGATATTGTACTATATTTTGTAAGATGTTACCACTTGGGTAAACTGAGTAAAGAGGGGATCTCTATTATTTCTTTTTTATTTTATTTTATTTTATAATTATTATACTTTAAGTTTTAGGGTACATGTGCACAATGTGCAGGTTTGTTACATATGTATACATGTGCCATGTTGGTGTACTGCACCCATTAACTAGTCATTTAGCATTAGGTATATCTCCTAATGCTATCCCTGCCACTCCCGCCACCCCCCAACAGTCCTCGGAGTGTGATGTTCCCCTTCCTGTGTCCATGTGTTCTCGTTGTTCAATTCCCACCTATGAGTGAGAATATGCGGTGTTTGGTTTTTTTGTCCTTGCGATAGTTTGCTGAGAATGATGATTTCCAGTTTCATCCATGTCCCTACAAAGGACATGAACTCATCATTTTTTATGGCTGCATAGTATTCCATGGTGTATATGTGCCACATTTTCTTAATCCAGTCTATCGTTGTTGGACATTTGGGTTGGTTCCAAGTCTTTGCTATTGTGAATAGTGCCACAATAAACATATGTGTGCATGTGTCTTTATAGCAGCATGATTTATAGTCCTTTGGGTATATACCCAGTAATGGGATGGCTGGGTCAAATGGTATTTCCAGTTCTAGATCCCTGAGGAATCACCACACTGACTTTCACAATGGTTGAACTAGTTTACAGTCCCACCAACAGTGTAAAATGTTCCTATTTCTCCACATCCTCTCCAGCACCTGTTGTTTCCTGACTTTTTAATGATCGCCATTCTAAACTGGTGTGAGATGGTATCTCATTGTGGTTTTGATTTGCATTTCTCTGTTAGCCAGTCATGGTGAGCATTTTTTCACGTGTTTTTTGGCTGCATAAATGTCTTCTTTTGAGAAGTGTCTGTTCATGTCCTTCGCCCACTTTTTGATGGGGTTGTTTGTTTTTTTCTTGTAAATTTGTTTGAGTTCATTGTAGATTCTGGATATTAGCCCTTTGTCAGATGAGTAGGTTGCAAAAATTTTCTCTCATTTTGTAGGTTGCCTGTTCACTCTGATGGTAGTTTCTTTTGCTGTGCAGAAGCTCTTTAGTTTAATTAGATCCCATTTGTCAATTTTGGCTTTTGTTGCCATTGCTTTTGGTGTTTTAGACATGAAGTCCTTGCCCATGCCTATGTCCTGAATGGTACTGCCTAGGTTTTCTTCTAGGGTTTTTATGGTTTTAGGTCTAACATTTAAGTCTCTAATCCATCTTGAATTAATTTTTGTATAAGGTGTAAGGAAGGGATCCAGTTTCAGCTTTCTACCTATGGCTAGCCAGTTTTCCCAGCACCATTTATTAAATAGGGAATCCTTTCCCCATTGCTTGTTTTTCTCAGGTTTGTCAAAGATCAGATAGCTGTAGATATGCGGCATTATTTCTGAGGGCTCTGTTGTGTTCCATTGATCTATATCTCTGTTTTGGTACCAGCACCATGCTGTTTTGTTTACTGTCGCCTTGTAGTATAGTTTGAAGTCAGGTAGCGTGATGCCTCCAGCTTTGTTCTTTTGGCTTAGGATTGACTTGGTGATGCGGGCTCTTTTTTGGTGCCATATGAACTTTAAAGTAGTTTCCAATTCTGTGAAGAAAGTCATTGGTAGCTTGATGGGGATGGCATTGAATCTATAAATTACCTTGGGCAGTATGGCCATTTTCACGATATTGATTCTTCCAACCCATGAGCATGGAATGTTCTTCCATTTGTTTGTGTCCTCTTTTATTTCATTGAGCAGTGGTTTGTAGTTCTCCTTGAAGAGGTGCTTCATGTCCCTTGTAAGTTGGATTCCTAGGTATTTTATTCTCTTTGAAGCAATTGTGAATGGGAGTTCACTCATGATTTGGCTCTCTGTTTGTCTGTTATTGGTGTATAAGAATGCTTGTGATTTTTGTACATTGATTTTGTATCCTGAGACTTTGCTGAAGTTGCTTATCAGCTTAAGGAGATTTTCGGCTGAGACAATGGTGTTTTCTAGATATACAATCATGTCATCTGCAAACAGGGACAATTTGACTTCCTCTTTTCCTAATTGAATACCCTTTATTTCCTTTTCCTGCCTAATTGCCCTGGCCAGAACTTCCAACACTATGTTGAATAGGAGTGGTGAGAGAGGGCATCCCTGTCTTGTGCCAGTTTTCAAAGGGAATGCTTCCAGTTTTTGCCCATTCAGTATGATATTGGCTGTGGGTTTGTCATAGGTAGCTCTTATTATTTTGAGATACGTCCCATCAATACCTAATTTATTGAGAGTTTTTAGCATGAAGAGTTGTTTGAATTTTGTCAAAGACCTTTCCTGCATCTATTGAGATAATCATGTGGTTTTTGTCTTAGGTTCTGTTTACATGCTGGATTATATTTATTGATTTGCATATATTGAACCAGCCTTGCATCCCAGGGATGAAGCCTACTTGATCATGGTGGATAAGGTTTTTGATGTGCTGCTGGATTCGGTTTGCCAGTATTTTATTGAGGATTTTTGCATCAATGTTCATCAAGGATATTGGTCTAAAATTCTCTTTTTTGGTTGTGTCTCTGCCCGGCTTTGGTATCAGGATGATGCTGGCCTCATAAAATGAGTTAGGGAGGATTCCCTCTTTTTCTATTGATTGGAATAGTTTCAGAAGGAATGGTACCAGTTCCTCCTTGTACCTCTGGTAGAATTCGGCTGTGAATCCATCTGGTCCTGGACTCTTTTTGGTTGGTAAGCTATTGATTATTGCCACAATTTCAGAGCCTGTTATTAGTCTATTCAGAGATTCAACTTCTTCCTGGTTTAGTCTTGGGAGGTTGTATGTGTTGAGGAATTTATCCATTTCTTCTAGATTTTCTAGTTTATTTGTGTAGAGGTGTTTGTAGTATTCTCTGATGGTAGTTTGTATTTCTGTGGGATTGGTGGTGATATCCCCTTTATCATTTTTTATTGCATGTGTTTGATTCTTCTCTCTTTTCTTCTTTATTAGTCTTGCTAGCGGTCTATCGATTTTGTTGATCCTTTCAAAAAACCAGCTCCTGGATTCATTAATTTTTTGAAGGGTTTTTTGTGTCTCTATTTCCTTCAGTTCTGCTCTGATTTTAGTTATGTCTTCCCTCCTGCTAGCTTTTGAATGTGTTTGCTCTTGCTTTTCTAGTTCTTTTAATTGTTAATTAAAAGATGTTAGGGTGTCAATTTTGGATCTTTCCTGCTTTCTCTTGTGGGCATTTAGTGCTATAAATTTCCCTCTACACACTGCTTTGAATGTGTCCCAGAGATTCTGGCATATTGTGTCTTTGCTCTCATTGGTTTCAAAGAACATCTTTATTTCTGCCTTCATTTCATTATGTACCCAGTAGTCATTCAGGAGCAGGTTGTTCAGTTTCCATGTAGTTGAGAGGTTTTGAGTGAGTTTCTTAATCCTGAGTTCTAGCTTGATTGCACTGTGGTCTGAGAGACAATTTCTTTAAAGTTCATATGGCACCAAAAAAGAGCCCGCATCACCAAGTCAATCCTAAGCCAAAAGAACAAAGCTGGAGGCATCACGCTACCTGACTTCAAATTATACTACAAGGCGACAGTAAACAAAACAGCATGGTACTGGTACCAAAACAGAGATATAGATCAATGGAACACAACAGAGCCCTCAGAAATAATGCCGCATATCTACAGCTATCTGATCTTTGACAAACCTGAGAAAAACAAGCAATGGGGAAAGGATTCCCTATTTAATAAATGGTGCTGGGAAAACTGGCTAGCCATAGGTAGAAAGCTGAAACTGGATCCCTTCCTTACACCTTATACAAAAATTAATTCAAGATGGATTAGAGACTTAAACGTTAGACCTAAAACCATAAAAACCCTAGAAGAAAACCTAGGCAGTACCATTCAGGACATAGGCATGGGCAAGGACTTCATGTCTAAAACACCAAAAGCAATGGCAACAAAAGCCAAAATTGACAAATGGGATCTAATTAAACTAAAGAGCTTCTGCACAGCAAAAGAAACTGCCATCAGAGTGAACGGGCAACCTACAAAATGAGAGAAAATTTTTGCAACCTACTCATCTGACAAAGGGCTAATATCCAGAATCTACAATGAACTCAAACAAATTTACAAGAAAGAAACAAACAACCCCACCAAAAAGTGGGCGAAGGACATGAACAGACACTTCTCAAAAGAAGACATTTATGCAGCCAAAAAAACACTTGAAAAAATGCTCACCATCACTGGCTATCAGAGAAATGCAAATCAAAACCACAATGAGATACCATCTCACACCAGTTAGAATGGCGATCATTAAAAAGTCAGGAAACAACAGGTGCTGGAGAGGATGTGGAGAAATAGGAACATTTTACACGGTTGGTGGGACTGTAAACTAGTTCAACCATTGTGGAAGTCAGTGTGGCGATTCCTCAGGGATCTAGAACTGGAAATACCATTTGACCCAGCCATCCCATTACTGGGTATATACCCAAAGGACTATAAATCATGCTGCTATAAAGACACATGCACACGTATGTTTATTGTGGCACTATTCACAATAGCAAAGACTTGGAACCAACCCAAATGTCCAACAACGATAGACTGGATTAAGAAAATGTGGCACATATACACCATGGAATACTATGCAGCCATAAAAAATGATGAGTTCATGTCCTTTGTAGGGACATGGATGAAGTTGGAAATCATCATTCTCAGTAAACTATTGCAGGAACAAAAAACCAAACACCGCATATTCTCACTCATAGGTGGGAAATGAACAATGAGAACACATGGACACAGGAAGGGGAACATCACACTCTGGGGACTGTTGTGGGGTGGGGGGACAGGGGAGGGATAGCTTTAGGAGATATATCTAATGCTAAATGACGAGTTAATGGGTGTAGCACACCAGCATGGCACATGTATACATATGTAACTAACCTGCACATTGTGCACGTGTACCCTAAAACTTAAAGTATAATAATAACAAAATAAAAAAAATAACAGAAACGTCAATAACCTGATTTTACATGGTTTTATTTGTTGGATTTTGGCATTATTTAGGTCCTCTAAAATCTATAAAGAAGCAATTTTTAGTATTAATTGAGTGCCTCCTGTGTGCTAAGCCCTGTGGTATTTGCTAAGGAGACTAGAAGGAGTAGAAATGAATCCTTAGGTAAGGTAATTTACAGATTACAAGATGTTTTCAACTGCGTCATCACCTCTGGTTCTCACCCAAACCCTGTCAGGCAGTTATTATTACGTGTCATGATTTTATAGGAGATAAAATAGAATCTTGGATAGATTGAAGGAATAACCCATGTTAAGGTTGCTTTCAAGCATAGAGCTTGAGCTGTCTGTAACTTACTTATTATTTCAGCCCCTACCATCTTTTCACCATAGCACACTGCAGGACCTTACCTCCTGGGGAAATGTCTAACACCTGTTAAAATGTGCAAGCTTAGTCTCTGTCACTCCTTTCCCACTGCCCCACCTCCCTCTCTCTCTTACACACAGGCACACACACCACATGCTTTCCAAGAGCAGGGGAGTCTTTAACTAGCTAAATGGTCAAGCATTCCATGTAGTCACTTGAGAACCCAATATATCATGTGTTTCTGTAGAAGTTGTCGTACTAATTACACAACATGGGATCTACTGAGGCATTCATAGACTTTGTCAATACATTCAAGGTGACAGAAGAATTTTTGAAAATTCCTTACATTCAAATATTTGTATTTTACACAATAAATTTATATTTACCACAAAAACATTAGATTTTACAGATAAGTATAAAGAAACGGAAGAAAACAAAAACAACTAAGCAAACCTTAGCCCACTTCACAGAGTTAAAAAGAGGTCAGTTTTAAAGAGATTTCTAGTCAATTATGAAGACATTTCTAGATTTTATTTTCTTTCTTTCTTTTTTTTTTGGAAACCAGCTCAGGTTTACTTGTGACATTTTAAAATTGTACAAGTATTTTGATATCTGCCCCCAACATTTAATTTCTTAAAATGGCAGGAAAACATCAAATAATCACAGGTTTAATACATTTACCCCTTCAGTTCCTATTTGCAGCACCCAATATTCCTTTGAAATATGAAACAGACCTGGCAGTGGCCAATAGTAGATTTCTGCCCGCTGCCTTCCCACCTTCAACAGAGTTGAAAAGTTCAGGTTTAGTGTTGTTGCAGTGGCACTTGTCCAGAATTGGTACCTCCCCATAGTTGGGGGACTTTAAATGTACCAGTGAAAATAGCTTTCTCCCCTTCAAAGGGAAGGAAGAAAATCACTCCCTCAAACCCAGCAGACGGCTGTGAGGTCTTTCCTCCTATCTCATCTCTTCAGGATTTTTGTTTGTTTGTTTGTTTGCAGTGGAGCAAGAGAGACCAAAACCTAACCTGAGTTACAAGAAACAAGACAGTAATGGCTATAAAGGGAGTGACCAGGAGCAACTGGGACACTCTTTACCTCCCATTTCCAATGTATGTGCTTCACAGAAAAACAACAAAAATAACAAATCCACAAAATACAACAGCTAGAATTACAAAATCCATTTATCCAAGGGTGGTAGGAGGCAGGATGGAAAGGTGGGAGGGTAAATGGTACAGGGAGAGAAACAAAGTATTCAAATCAGTCCAGGCACAGGGACTGGCAAATGCTAGAAAATAGCTGCAGAAAAACCTGTGGTCCTTTCAGACTCACGGCGATGTTAAAAATCCACACACTGGTGTCAGGGAACATTCTGCTTTACGTGCACCAGAGACAAAAATTTCAATTCCTCAGAGAGAAGGGAATACACAGAGGGCCCTTGGCAGAGAGGGTACTGCCTTCCCTGGCAGGGGGAGGTGAACAGGGAACAGAGCTGCCACAGCCTCCTTCCAATCCCGCCCACCCCCTTTGGATGGCAGGCAACTCAGTGGCCTGGAGCAACCTTCAGTTTGGCAGAAGACGGATGCGGTGAAGGGAACTTCTCTGCAGAAATGGAGCTGCTCAGGGCAGACTGCAGTTTCTTTTCTTCATTCTTTTTCATTGAAAAGATAGCATCACATAGACAGCTTCATAATCCCTATTGTTTAATAATAATAATAGACACATAGATGTACAATAGACACATAGATTTACACAGATGTACAATAGACTCATGCATGTACATTAATTAATTTAATAAGTTCCCTATTATTGAATGTTGAGATTGTTTTGAATTTAGATTGCTTTGAATTTTCCCTGTTACAAATGATATGGGTTAAAAAAAGAGTAATTTATTATTAATTGGCATCAAAATTATTCTAAGGAGGGAAAGTATCTTTTCCTGGAATAACATTTTATTGAATTACCCAGTTTGGAAAATCTAATTCTAATGATCTGTAAGCTAGAAGTGTTCTGAGAAAGTTGTTCAGGTCCCAAGGAGGACATATTCTGCAACTCCTACTTCAGATATGACCAAGGAGAATGTCTGGAAGGCAGAACTAAGAGCTACAGAATAAGGGACAGGAGAGCCCTTCTGTGACAGCAGAGTGAGGGTTTGCCAGGAGCTCCCCTCTACACCAGTCCTCCCAGGCATCACAGTGTCTGCCCAGGTCAGACACTGTGTTTAGAATTGCTGGTGATTTTGGAGTTCAGAATTACTGGTGATTCTGTGTCTCCATCCTTCTTCATTCCAAATGGAGCGATGAATGCTGTGAACCGGCCCATTTCACCACTGTATGATGATGCAGGTGGAAGGCAAATGACTTGTCTTTGCCATTAATAGGACCGAGGACCAAGAGGAGACCGGTCTGATGGAGAGACTATTGCCCTCACCTTGAGACCCAGGATTGTATTTGGATTCAGTGACTGGAGGTTGCTTAAGGATTTCATCCTAGGTAAAGAGGTTATTCTGTTTTGTTTCGTTTTGTGGAAGAATTAGTTGAGTACTTGATGACTAGAAAAACAGATTGTGATGGAGGTTTTCAATGCTCATTAACATTTGGTTCTCTTTTCTTTCTGAACACTTGGGAGGAACATACTTTCCCAGGCCCCTTGCAGTTAAGCAGGATCATGCAGTGAGTTCTAGCCAAGGGCTGTGAGGCGAGGTGGCCAAAGCATTTAAGAGCAGGTTTCCATTTTCCACACTCTCTTGTTTCTTCTACAGTGATCCAGGATGACATGCACTGGTTACTTGGTGTGACATCCAAAGATCATTGAATGTCTGTCAACCTGGTCTCCTGAGTGACTTTGTGGAGCAAAGCCCCTCACCAATACATGTTGGATACGCATCATTAATGAGGGCAAAACCCCCACAAACTTTTGTTCTACTAAGTCATTGAAATTTGCTTCCACAGCATACCCTGACCTACTCTGATTAAAGTATACCTTGAGCATGTCCTAATTAAAACTCATATCAACATTATTAACCTTTTATAATGCAATTATTTCTTCTAAGTTTGCCATTTGTATTTTAATTTTGTTTATAATGAAGTCACTTAAAGTCACCAGAATTGCAAAGATTGCCATAACTCTTAGTCTAAAATCTCCTTTCCTTCAGTAGATCATCACAGAAGTTTAGAGGGTTTAAGAGTCTGGGCTTTGTGAGTCTGACTGCTGTCCACTCTGTTTATTACATGTGTGGCCTATGCAAGGCACTGAGGCAAAAGTTATTCATTGCAGTAATGTTTAAAATACTGAAAAATTTAACCAATCTAGATGGCTATCAATAACAGAATGCAATAGAATAACATGCAGCCATTAAAATAATGGGGTAGATCTACAGTTGCTTGCATGGAAAGATGTTCTGGATATATTGTTGGTTTAAAAAGAAGAATTGGGCTGGCCGCAGTGGCTCAAGCCTGTAATTCTGGCACTTTGGGAGGCCAAGGTGGACAGATCACCTGAGGTCAGGAGTTCGAGACCAGCCTGGCCAACATGGTGAAACCCTGTCTCTACTAAAAATACAAAAATTAGTTGGGGGTGGTGGCACACGCCTGTAATCCCAGCTACTCAGGATGCTGAGGCAGGAGAACCGCTTGAACCTGGGAGGCGGAGGCGGCAGTGAGCTGAGATCGTGCCATTGCACTCCAGTCTGGGCCACAAGAATGAAACTCTGTCTCAAAAAATAAATAAATGAATAAATAAATAAATAAGTAAAAATAAAAATAAGAATGCAAAACAGCATCTATCACACAGCTACCATGTACATGTAGGTAAGTATATGCCAGTGGTAGTGTCTGAAAAGAATTTCAAATTATAACAGTAGATACTTCTGGATAGTAATCATCTGAGAGATTTAATCTTTCCCTTTAGGTTTTTCAGTACTATTCCATTTTAAAAAATTTACAAATTTGTATAATTTGCAAACAAACAACCATTTTGGTGTATAAGTAAAATGTTGTATATTATATTTACATTAATATGTTCTATTAGATATATTTAATATATTTACATTTTACTTTATAAATATTTAATTTTATGTTTTTAAGGTTAATTTTTACTTATGATGGCCTTCTACACCTTTGATTTTTTTAAGTTCTTTGTTAAAATTTTATAGTGTTCTCCTTATAGGTCTTGTTTAGTTTTGAAGTTTTCATTTTTAGATATTTAAATATTTTTGTTTCAATTTTGAATGATATTTTTTGTTTATTGCATTATCAACTGGTTAGTTTCAGGTGTCTAGCAAATATTTTCTGTATATTTCTTTGATAACTAACCACTCTGCTAAGAGCTTTTGCTATAATCATTTTTTAGTTGATTCTGTAATCCCAGCTACTTGGGAGGCTGAGGCGGAAGAATCGCTTGAACCCAGGAGGCAGAGGTTGCAGTGAGCCGAGATCACACCATCATACTCCAGCCTGGGTAACAAGAGTGAAACTCCCTCTCAAAATAAAAAAAATAAAAAATAAAAAGTTTGAATAAAATTATATCCAAATCATCTAGACCTACAACAAACTTTGTAGATAATTTGACAATTTTCTCTTTCCTCCCATTTTGTATGCTGTATTGGACTATGCAGTTTCTCCACTTAAAAAGTCAGTTGCCATAATTCATATTTTCTTAGAAAATTTTCTATTTCATAATGATTTTCATAAACATATAATACATTTTTATTTTTCATATTATTTATTTATACATATTTTATAATAAATTGAAATTCTCCTCTTCCTCATTCCTAATGTTATATATTTGTATTCCACAACATCGGAACAGAATGTTTATTTGTTTTTTAATAAATTCGTGGTATGTTGCTTAATGGGTTTTACGTTTTCTAAACTCTGTCTGTGGCTTCACAATCTCTCATTGGCAAGGCCTTGTATACAGCCTAAAAGCCTGCTCCCCAGCCCCTAGGCCCTCTGGACTGCAGCTACCTTGCCTTTCCTTCAGCTGGAGCGTTCCTCCAGCTGAGGCCCAGGGTGTCTGCATAGGCTAGCTCTTGAGCTGGTCTTTTTCTGTTACCTTTCAGGTCTCTGAACAATATGGGCTGAAGGAAGCCTTTGCTAACCACTGAGGCTAGGTCAGAGCCCCATTATAGATTCACATAAAAGTGCGGCTTTCACTCATGACAATCTTGTGGTATGCAATTACACGCTTATTTATTTAACTATTTGCTTAATTTCTGTTTCTTCCAGTATCAGAGACTGCGGTCTATATCCAATTTGATTCATTTATCCACAGTCTCAAGAGCAGCGTGAGCACTGTGTAAATACTCAGAAAAATTATCCTCTTATGATATAGTTTGTATTTTGTTTTTCCTCCTTTCTGCTGTTTCTTGCTTGTCCTCTCCCCTTTTTATTCTCTATTTTGCTATCTTTTCCAAGTTTCCTTTGATATATTTTTAAGTGACAAAAAGTTACGTTATTTTCATAACAATGACTTTTATCTCTCTTAAAACATCTACTTTTTTTTACTGATGGCAAAAATGAAACAGTATTCATTGATTCCTCCATATTATGACAAGTGTTTTAAAATGTGTTCACATTCTTCTTATTTCCCTAGAACACCTTTATTTTAATATAACCTCAGTTTTTAGATCTATGTTATCATTATCTTACTGTAAAGAAAAAGGTCAGGCTGGAGAATGCAATCCCAGGGAAGCAGAAGGGAAAGAAAATTGGAATGAGGCAGAAAAGGAGAAAGAGTAAATGTGAGTGAGTGTGTTGCTGAAGTGGTCTCAGGTTCATGTCAAGTTGATTGCTTTTTCTCACAGGACATCATCAGAGCAGCAGTAAGAACATTTTGCCTTTCTAAACAATCCATCCAGAAGAAAAAAGGGAGAATGTTACCTTTGAAACCTTATTCTATTGGTGAAAGATTTCCCCACTCAGCCTCAACACCCTCTACTCTGAATTGGGCATTTGTGGGTGCTGGGCAGGTCCCATGACCTCTTGTGTCTTAGCAGCAACAGAGAAACCTTGAGACAGGAAACAAGTTACGTGTGGCAGAAATATGCAGATAACATGCAGTGTTAGTATATGAACAACGGAAAGTAGATGTCACAGTGGACCCCTTTAAACCACAGTGATGATTGCATTGGCAATCTGACTCCATGACCACCAGCAAAATATAAGAAATTATTAGGATTGTTCCAGCCAGAAGGCTAGATAAAGGTCACATATTTTGGATCTAGTAAAATTGTGTGGATGATACATAAATTGAGTCTCATAAAAATATTCAGTATTTTTACTTCATATCTTCTCTTTCAAAGTTTAAATTTCTACTTTGCATTATATTTTATAATTACATCAATAGTTATTTAGAAAAAAACTCAAATTTTACAAGTTCTATTCCTTTCTTTATTATTTCTATATTTTACCTTAAATATAATTGAGTTTTTGCACATTTTTGGAGGTTGCAGAGCTTTGCATTTTTGTTAAGGAAAGATACATATGGTGGTATGTTTTCTGAGTCTTAGCAAGTATAACGCTTTCAGCTGGCCTTGTACATAAATCATATGGTGACTGGGTGTAGAATTTTGGGTGGCAATGAATTTGTTATCCAAAATTCCAGAGTGCTCTCCTTCCAGCCGTGACAGAGTAACTGGCATTAGATGTTTCCTTCCACTGAAAACAACTATAAAATTAGACAAAATATATGAGCCATTGGACAGCAAACAGTACAGGATGCTGACTCTTGAGAGAAGGGAGACAAACAAGGTGATCCTTGTGATTGTGGTGGCTTTTTGTCTGAAGGCACTTTCCTTGTACAAAGCAGAGAAGGTGGACCCAAGTGGAGCAACATTCTCTGTGAGTTGACAATTCAAAAATAAGTGTTCTAGGATGCTGAGGCAGTTGGAATTTGCACAGAAGGGTAGCTGAGAAGAGAAAGTTACATGGAAACAGGTGGGGAGTGCCAAAGAAATCTGCATGGATGTCTTACAGCATGATTCCCTGAACAAGGGCTTGGACAGCGTGGGTCCTCCATAGCAGGATCCTTGAACAAGAGCTGAGCTGCCCACACACAGGGAAAGGCTTTACGAGGCCAAGCAGAGATTGCCTACTTTGGGTCAAAAGCTGAATGGTGTGTCAGAGAACAGGATAAGAGATACGAGAGTTTCAGATAAGATAGAGTACAGAGATGCCACCAAGTACCTTAGACTTTCTATTGGAAACAAATATTACATCACAGGAGTTAAGACAACACATTCTAGGATTAAGGGTACAATCTTTAGGATTATAGATCCTACTTAATAAAGCATAAAATCATGACTCATTTGAAGACAGATTAATAGAAATTTAACAAAAATGAAGAGAACTTCAGAGAAATATAGAACAGCATCAAGAAAATTAACAAATGTTAATTGTAGTTCTATAAGGAGAAGAGAGAGAGAATGGGGCAAAAAGGGCTTGAAGTAATAAAGGTGGGCAAGTTCTCACATTTGGTGAAATACTGAATTTACAGATTCAGAAAGTTTAGGAAACTCCACACAGAAAAAATACAAAGAACACCAAACTTACATACATAATAGGAAAACTGCTTAAAAATAAACCAAACCAAAAAGTGCAAGGGAACAATAATACAAACTAAAAAGCTTAGGGTTATGTACAACTAGACTAACCTACTGTTGAAAGGTTATTCAATTTTCTTTTGTAGGGGTATAATGTTAACTATAATAGAGCCAAAATAATTTTAGAATATATATTGTAATCCCGAGGATAACTGTTAATGTAAAATACAGTGAAAAAGCCAACAGAAGAATTAAAATTTAATTTTAAGGAAATAATTACTGTAAAAGAAGGCAAGAAAGGAGGTACAGAGGACCAAAACAGAGATAAGAAAAATAGAAACAATTAGTAAGTTGCTAGACTTAAATGCAATCTCATTAAAGATTACATTGTCAATGGCTTAAACATTACAACTGCAGAGTGTCAGATAATATTTTTTAAAAGCCCTATCTATATTACCCACATAAGATGCAAATTAAATATAAAAGTACAGATAAGTTGAATGTAAAAGAATGAAATAAAATATATTATGCAGATTATTGTAAGAAAGCTGGAATTATTATATTAGCATCATAAAAAATAGTCTTCATGACAAGGAGTATTATCAGCATTAAAGATGGATATTTTATAAATGTGAAAGGGCCAGTTAGTCAAGAAGATATAACAGTCATAAATGCATATCTATCCAATAAAAGAGCTTTAGATACATGAAGCAAATTGTGACATAGGAGAAATAGACAAATCAACAATTGTGGTTGGAAATTTTAAAGGTCCCCTTTTCAGTAATTGATAGAGCAACTGGAAAAAAATTGAAAGGACAGAGAAGTTAGGAAAATGGGTCAGGAAGAGGAGTAGGGACCAGCAGAAGAAACTGAGAATGACAGTCCAGTGACATAGGAGGAGAAACAACAGAGAATAATGTCCCAGGGGCCACAATATCAAAAGTTGTTGAAAGGGTGGATAGTAAGAGGATGAAGAATTGATCTTAGATTGGTAGCCTTGAGAGATGTTTCATTGGGATTATGGGGGAAAAGGATTTATTGATGTAAGTTTAAGAAGAAATGGAGGGTAGTGAGAATAGGTAACTTTTTTTTTTTTAAGACAGGAACTCACTCTGTCACCCAGGCTGGATGCAGTGACATGGTCATAGCTTACTGCAGCCTCGATATCCCAGGCTCAAGCAATCCTCCTGCCTAAGCCTGCCAAGTAAGTGGGACTACAGGCACAGACCACCACACTTAGCTATTTTTTTTTTTTGTTTTTGATTTTTAGTAGAGATGAGGTCTGGCTATGTTGCCCAGGCTAATCTTGAACTCCTGAACTCAAGCAATCCTCCCGCCTTAGCCTCTGAAAGTGCTGGGATTACAGGTGTGAGCCACTGTGCCTAATCTGCAATGCATACCTGAATATTAAAAGTTCTGAGAAGTCCTAGTGAAAGAAATCTATTAAATATTTCTTCAGCCAGTGTTCCTCAAATTTATTTCAGCTCCATTTTTGAACGTAACTTCTACTAACTTCCCATAGTGCTGGAGTGTGATGGAAATTGTTTTGGAAGATGCTGAGGTGGAAAAGGCCTCCTAATCTTCTGAACTCCTGAAGTACTTTCTCTCTTCCTCTGGTAAGGCATTTAGCTCTTTCTGTTTTGTAGATATATATGTAATTCAGGTTTATCACAAAGATGGGCATTCTTTGAGGAGAGACGGCTGATGACGAAGTCACATTTATCTCTGGTGCCCAGCACTGAGCCTTGCACAGAGCAATGGCTCCCGGCATGTAGATTGAAAGAGAATGTACATATTACTAAGGGGATTTCAATGGAAAGTTTCTAGGCCACACTGCATGTAATGTCACATTATCTTCTATTTGTATCTTCACATCCCTCCTTTGCTCTTTCCCTCCCAGCCTCTAGTATCCACTCTTTTACTTTTTACTTCTATGAGATCAATTTTTTTTTTTTTTTTAGCTTCAACATATGAATGAGAACATGAGGTGTTTAACTTTGTGTTCCTGGCTTATTTCACTTGACTAATGTCCTCCAGTTCAATCCATGTTGCCTCAAATGACAGGATTTCATTCTTTTTGTGGCTGAATAGTATTCCATTTATAATGCCATTATTCAAAAACTTTTTTAAAATAAGTTTTTTTTTTTTTTTTTTGGTAGAGCCTAGTCTTGAACTCTTAGCCTCAAGAGATCCTCCTGCCTTGGCCTCCCAAAGCACTGGGGTTACAGGTGTGGGCCATTCCACCTGATCTCAACAACTTCTTAACGTTTTTTCTTTTGATCATGTCCACTTCTCTTTCTCAGAGAAAACATGAAATAAAATACTGCATCCTGAACACAAAATACTCCTTTTAGCAACTAAAGGTGAGTGTGAATGAACTCTGATCCCTACAACGGTTTGATGGGAAAAGTAGAAAACAGCCAAAAAATTCCATATTTGAGTCTAGAAATTTTACTACAATGGTGGAGAAACATTTAGTTGCAGTAGATTTTCTTACTCCAATACTTTCTCTTGAGGAGTCGATTGCTGAGGCAACCGGAGGATCCAGAGATCAACACAGACAACTCCTGTTTCTTCAATAACCTTCACTGATGTCTTTACATGCAAGGTGGAGGGAAGGTGAGAGATTTTCAATACTTGTTCAACTTGCTTAGATCTTAGTGATTTAATGGCCTTTTGTCAGATAATTAAGATTTTCCTCCTGGATGCAGATGTTCAAAGAGCTTGGTTTTAAGTAGTGTTTATTTCATATGAACAGGACTTGATCCTTTCATCTGTTTAGAATCACCCAATAATACTCCTCTTTCAAAAAGGATTTAGCTCTCAGACTATTTTATCACCCACTTTTTTTTTGGACCAAAGTGAGAAGACAAAACAAAACACTTTACTATGTGTTTGAATTTGTCTTCTCTTAATAAGAATGCGGAAACACAGTCTGGCCACCCTCATTCCTTTTATCACTTTGTTCACAGCTCTTATGCTATCCATAAAAGCTACATTTACAACTAGAACACTAAGATTTTTATCCTCAGGTTTTATCCACTTCATGAATAAAAATGCCTCTGATCTACTTTGCAAGGTGGAAAGCAGGCTTGAACTTGTGCTTAGAGTAGGATAAAGTTTAGCTAATGTTTATGTCATTTATGAGAAGGGTTCATTTCACCTTGGTCTTTGTGTCCTCTGTACAGTCATCATTGCTCAGATACTGGGCTTCTGTTTGAGCACATCTTCTTCCTCACTTACACTGGAGTGGCCAGTTTCCAGCTAAGATCCAGCCACTTCACCATCGGCCTCTACTGTAGTATCAATCACACAGACTCAGAGCGGCGTCTTGTTTGCGGCCAGTTGTTGTGGGAATGGCTTTTCTGAGGTAATGCTCTCAGCGTTTGCATACAGCTGAATAAACAGTCTTGTTTCATTTGAAAGCTCTTGACCATGAGGTTTTTTCATTCATTTGATAGTTATTTCTTATTCACCTAATGTGTGTCTACTCCATTTTCTTCAGGATTTTTTTGTTTAGGCTGTTTTCTTCAAATAGCTGTCATTTGAAGTTGCCTTAAATTTACATTGTGAAGATCTGTTTATAACCAAGCATGCTTTCTTTCTCCTTTCCAGCTCTGTATAAATAATCCTACACATCCATCAAGTCTCAGCTAAAATGTTTCTTTCTCAATGAAGCATCCCCGCATAATTTTAGGTTTTAAATGTCTTGATGGCTCCATTTCCTCAGATCTCAAATCTCTGATGCTTTGGGAGCCAATCTACACTTTCACTTCTTGTTATATTTCACATGCGTAACTCAGAGACACTGCCATTGTTACAGAACTAGAAATGCTTTCTGAAATTACTCACCATTCTTTTAAACGCAGAGTTAAGCTTACAAGAAAGAAAGCATAATTTGTATGTGCTAGAAATGAGAAGGTTTCTGGAAAGCAGACTGGTAAGGATGGAAGCTAATCCTTCAGTGGCCTTAGTGGGTGGTCGCAGATTGTAGAATTCAGCCAGCTAGGGGTGTGACTCTGAAAACACGCATGCAGAATGAAAGTAAGTCCTGCCATTGCACATGGCAGCATGCTGAAACTGAGACCCCTGCATAAAGCAGTGAAGGTAGAAGGACCGCGGTGGGTGAGTGGGAAAGACAACCAGAAAAAATGCACTTTCCAACACAGACACAGGCAGACGGCAAAAAAATTTTCTGTTGCTGCTTGGACCCTGGGTAGGAAAAACATTCCCTAGGATAATTTGTGACCATGGGTTTGTGTCCCCAACAGTTGAAGTTCTAATTTTTATAATTAGTTGGCTCAGGGATCCTCAAGCTGAAGGGAATCTGAATTTTAAAACTTCATGTGAGAAAAATCATAAATAACTGCATGCTGATAAATTTGAATATTTTAGTGAAGAATCCTTTATATTCACTATATTCATCAAAATAATTTATAAAGAAATATAAAATTCCCATAAAAAGAGGTGAATCAGTTATTAGCAATTTACCCAGTTGCTCCAATGTTAATGAAAAATAGATCCAGACTATGTACAGACATCTTCTTCCAATCCTTTGAGCAATAGATAATCTTTATGCAAATATTTTCAGAGAATAGAAAAGAAGGAAAACATCCCAGTTAATTTTGTAAGGTCATTAGCACCTTGATTCCAAAATCAGGCAAAGGCATCATGAAAAATAAGATTTGCAGGTTAATTATGGTCAGAGAGGCAAAAGTCCTAAATGAACTATTAGCAGACTAAACCTAGGGGTGTCTGAGTGTGTGTGTGTTTGTGTGAAAGAGAATGGGAAGGAGAATATCGAAACACATTCATATTATTTATGAAATAATTCATGCTATGTAGGTTCTTCCCAGAAATGTAGTGGTAGGTTTTGTTTGCTTTGTTTTTGTTTTGGTTTGTTCTGTTGTTTTTTTTTTTTTAGATATAGGGTCTAACTATATTGCTTAGGCTGGCCTTGAACTTCTGGGCTCAAGCAGTCCTCTCGCTTCAGTGTCTGAGTATCTGGGTCTACAGGTGCATGTCACCACACCTGGCTCATAGGGGTAGTTATAGTTGAAAAAAGGTAACTAAAAATCTTTTAAAACAGAAATGAAAGGGAATGTCTCCTAACTAAAGATGGTATTTACTAAATGCCTGCAGTATTTATCATGCTAAACAGTGAAATACTAGAAGCATTGCCTAAAAAGTCAGCTATAAATCAAGAATACCCTCTATTACTATTTCTATTCAGTATTGCATTGGAAATTTGAGGCAGTATACTAATATTGGGTTGAACCACATAAAATTGATGATAATCAAGTATTTCTGGCTGATATGGTTTAGCTGTGTCCACACCCAAATCTCGTGTTGAATTGTAGCTCCCATAATCCCCATGTGATGTGGGAGGGACCCAGTGGGAGGTAATTTAATCATGGGGGCAGGTTTTCCCATGTTGTTCTCATGATAGTGAATAAGTCTCATGAGATCTGATAGTTTTATAAAGGGGAATTCCCCTACATATATGCTTTCTTGCCCGCTGTCATGTGCCTTTGTTCCTTCTTCAGCTTCCACCGTGATTGTGAGGCCTCCCCAGCCATGTGGAACTGTGAGTCCATTAAACCTCTTTTTTTTTTTTTTTTTTTTATAAATTACCCAGTCTCTGGCATATCTTTATTAGCGTGTGAGAACAGACTAATACACTGACCAACAATCTAATTTTAGGAAAGAAAGAGAAGACATGGAGTTTAAAAATGAAGAACTCAAAGTAATGTTACTCATAGAAAATATGCTTATCTGCATAGAAAATTTAAGAGATTTTACAAAAAGTTATTTGAACCAAAGAGCTCACAAAATTGCTGGACACAAGATTAATACTCAAAATCCATTGTGTATTAACACATAGCAACAAATAATTTAAAAAAATTTAATACCAGTATGGAGACAAAACTATGGGATTAGAGATAATGTATAGAGATAAAATAACGAAACATGACCTAAAGACTTAAGAGCTAAGTTATAGCATGAGTCAACATTATAAGGATTGTTATTATCAAAAAATTATTTCATAAACCATGAGATTATGATCAAAATTTCAACAAGGTATTTATAGAACTCAGTGTTCTGATTCTAAGATTCTAAGGGAAAAGGAGGCCAAGAATATGTACAGCCAAACAATAAGAAGCTATAATAGTTAAGACAGTTTGATATTTGCACAGTGAGTTCATTTTTGTGTTGCCATAAAGAAGTACCAGAGGCGGGGTAATTTATAAAGAAAAAAGGATTAACTGGCTTATGGTTCTGCATGCTGTAGAGGAAGCATGGTGCCAGCATCTGGTCCTGGTGAGGGCCTCAGGAAGCTTACAATAATGACGGAAGGCAAATCGGGAGCAGGTTCATCGCGTGGCAAGAGTGGAAGCAAGAGAGAGAAGACAGAGGTCCCAGACTCTTGTAAACAACCAGATCTTAGCATGAATTGAGAGTGAGAACTCCCTCATTACTGTGAGGACTTCACCAAGCCATTCATGAGGGATCTGCTCCCATGACCTGGACACCTCCCACCAGGCCCCACCTCCAACAGCAGGGATCACACTTAAACATGAGATTTGGAGGACACATACATGCAAACCATATCACATAGGCTTAGTCAAATAGAATAATAGTATAGAAGAGAGAACTCAGAGACAGAACTACACATGAAACTGAGCTTGATACATGGTGAATGGTATTAAACATGGCAGAAAACAGATGGACTATTCAATTATTTTTTCTAGGACAATAGGCTAACCATACAGGCAAAGAAAAAGATAAAATCATGTACTAATTTCAAGTTTTCCCAATATAAAATCAAGAAAAACTACACTAAAACATGAAAGAAAAAATTGTAAATCTTCTAGAATAAAGGAGAATATCATAATGTCACTGAGTAGGGATATGTGTTTTAAACATAAAGTACAATCTGTTTTAAAATTAAAAACCTATGTAGGATAAGATATTTAGAAAAATGAAATCATAAAAAGATTTGTATGTAGAATATATTTGTATGTCTACAAATCAAGAAAAAGACAAACAAGTCAACAGAGGAAATATAGGCAAAATACATGAGTGAACAATTCACAGAGGAAGAAATCTGAATGGCCAAAAAAAAAAAAGAGAGAATAAAAGTAAAACAGGATTTCCACCCTCTCTAGTAATGTTAATTAGAACAAACATGAGATATAATTTCCTACCTACAGAATTGTTAAGGATTATTGACTAGTAACGTGTTTGATGAAGATGTAGGAAAGATGAATTATAAATTGCTGGTGGGAGTTAAAATCAGTACAAATAATTAAGAGGACAAATTGTCAATTCTCAACAAAGTTGAAAATATGTATATCCTATGACCTGGCAATGTCACTTCTTACCTAGGGAACCTCCGATGTGAATAAACAAGAGACACGGGCAAGAATCTTCATTTCAGCATCATTTGTAATTGCCAAACAGTGACAATAAATGGACTACTCTTCAGGAAGAGAATGGGTAGATTTATTATGGGTTATACATCCAATAAAATACTCTCACGTGGTGGTTAAAATGAATCACATAGATCTTCATGCACCAACATAGAGGATCTGGCTAAAGATTTTAAACTGTATCCTTGAACAATAAAGAGTTCAGAGGATTTTGAGTAGGAATCATGATATGTCTAAAAGTTTTCTGGAAGCTAGTCATTTGTGTGTGTGTGTGTGTGTGTATGCACTTGTGTGCACGTGTGTGTGTGTTCTGTGGAAAGAAGTATGGTATCACTGTTCTGAGAGGTTAAAAGAAGATGGAGAGAACCATGGATGAAGCTGGAAACCATCATCCTCAGCAAAGTAACACAGGAACAGAAAACAGAACACTGCATGTTCTCACTCATAAGTGAGAGCTGAGCAATGAGAACACATGGACACAGGGAGAGGAGCATCACACACCAGGGCCTGTCGGGGGGTTGAGGGAAAGGGGAGGGAGAGCATTAGAACAAATACCTAATGCATGTAGGGCTTAAAGCCTAGATGACGGGTTTATGGGTGCAGCAAACCAGCATGGCACATGTATACCTATGTAACAAACCTGCATGTTCAGTACATGTAACCCAGAACTTAAAGTACAATAAAAAAAGAATAAAAATTTAAAAAAAAAAGAAGAGAGAGAGACCAAGAAGAAACTGAACTGTAACTAAGGAAGGATTGAAATTTATAAGCCAGGTTGACCAACCCTATATGAAGTCAGTTCCTACCTGACAACAAGTTAGATTTGAGTGTATCCACAGTCCATTTTGTTTTTTGGGAAATGAAAATGGAAGATATTGAGCAGTAACTACTGAGACAACTGCTGAGAAACATTTTGTAAACTACAAAGTACTGTGCACAAGCCAGGAGGTTTTGGTTTTCTTACATAAACAGTCAGCCAGGATTTCTTTCCCGGAGAGAGCAGATCTTTGGCAAAGCCCCCTCTGTTCCACTCAGCAGATCCTGGAGAAAAGCACCTTAACCCAGCAGTTTGGACTCAATTAAGGAATGTTGGCAGCTGTCTCTAGAGCTTAGCAAACAAGCTGTGATTTTTTGCCAACTGCATTATTAATTGCCTGGGTAAAAGAACAAGGCCAATTTAAGTCCCTGATTTCACCAGGGAGCCTTGAGCCTTTGCATGAGAAGTGAATGACATGGGCTTCAATTTCAGGAGCTTGAAGCAGGCTCATGGCTCCACTCACTGTTGCTAACCAAGGGAAATACCCCAAATCAGATTAATTGACGTGATCCTGGGAAAGCCTGAAGGGTTGTTAATGATTCTGTCCCTTGTGTGAAGAAGGAAAAAACAATCTAAAGAGACAAGGTGGTTTCTGAAGATAAAAGACAAGGGGAAAAGAATCAGGCTTTTGTTTTTCAAGGGTCTGAAACAAGTGAGTTCTGTTAGACCTTTAAAAGGCCAGTTCTCAATTTATCTGCATTTGGGGTGTTTTCCTGTTGGATTCACTGCCCTTTCCAGAAGTAGCCTATACATTTTTCAGTCCTAGTTGCCTAGGGAAAAGAAGTGGGAATTATGTGTCATAAAATGGTACAATGCTTGTGCAAGTGACTGTCAAGATGAGATGGTGTCTGATTGTGTCTTGGTGGAGAAAGGAGAAGGGGACTCACTATGAGAAAGGGCTTGGAGAGTAGGGGCCTCAAACTTCATGCTAAAAATTCTGTCCAGATCTGGTACAGTGTATGTGACTAGAAAAACAAAATCTCCAAACCAGAGCCCTTTGTTTTGAGGCCTGTCTCTATCCAAAAGAGAACTGATCCAGTCTCTTTCTCTAGGTTTTATTCCACCCTCCACTTAACAGTTTAGAACCCTGCATGCTATTCTCTGTCACAGAAAACTTTGACAGACACAAGTAAGATCCAAGCTTTTGGTTTGATGTTGAATTTCCTAATCTCTCCTTTCCCAGAAAAAGGCGAGGGGTACCATCTTTGGGGCCCAAATGAAGGTATCGTTAGGCTACTGAACTGTGTGGCATTGGGGGTAGCATTTGGACCCTCCAGCCATTAGGACCAGGTACTATGTATACTCTTTTGGGCATGAATGACTTTTGCTGATGCTTTCACTAGAAGGTTTGCCTAAATAAAGGGTGAGGAGTGCAACTAAGCTTCCTTTGGCCAGTTCCCAATTGCTAGCAAGTAAAAACAGAAGTAATCTCAATGAATACGCAATTCTGAGCCATGGAGTGTTAGATTTTGTGAGGCTAGTCAAAGGCTGAGTGTCATGGGAGGTACTTGTGAGCAGGAGACTCAACAGGCACAGAGGCTACCCTCGTGTGAGTCCCTCCCAGGGCTGTCATGGGCTGCAGGTGCACAGGTCATGATGGGGACATTTGGGTGTTGAGGCCTTCTTAGCTGGCAGTGTACGTTTTCTGAAACTTGAAGAATCCTAGTATAAGTAAGGAAGATGAGGTCATAGGTGAGCATGTCCGGTTTGGCGTGGCCTGCCATGTGGGAAGTCTGTTTGCCAAAGATACACTTTCAGTTGTTTTCCAGCAGTGAATCTGTGTGAACCTTATCCTCGTGATGAATGCCTGCCCATCCCGCCACTCAAATTGTCATCATAATATCAACCTTTTTGATTCCAGCAGCATACGGGGGAATTATGGTAGAGCTGGGGCTACAGAGATCTTACAATTTGCAGCACCTACCCTCAAGGAGTTTTCAATTTGTTTGGAAAGAGGGAGGATGAAGGGAAATATGGGGAAAGATGAAGAGACTGCTCATTCTGGAACATTTAGAATGTTCCAGGCACCAGGGTGGTGCCTACTATGTTATCTCACTGGGCTCTTCAATTACTTTGTTTATGTTATAATATTCATTCTACAGATTAGGAAACTCAGGATGAGAGAGAGTAAGTGCCTGAAGTTACCCAGCTTGGAGCTATGGTGCAGGCAGCCTTGGAAGCCCAAACCTGCTGCGTTGAACTCTCACTAGCACTGCACCACACTAATGTATGCAAGACTTGACTAATGATGGATTACTTATGACTTTCAGCAAATGTATCATCAGGCAGTATTGTGGATGGGTCCCTAGGATAGTGCGGCTATGTGTGGCCTCTGCATGGAGGTGAGCCTTATCTGGAGAAGCCATGCCAGAGGAAGAATGGTACATTTTGGGAGATGAGATTTAAGAGCCTGGCAAGAATGAGACGGGGCATCCCTGACCATCAAGACTCGCACCTTCCCTCTAGTCCTTCACTAGTTAGAAAACCAAAGGCCAGAGCCCTGTGACCTAGTGGAGGAAAGGCAGAGCAACTGGTGAGGTTGGAAGGGAGTAGAGGAAGCAGAGGTGAAAGGGTGATGGGGAAAGGAGGAGGCATCTAGAAGATATGAGAAGTAACTGTGTCTATAATCCTTTAATGGTAGAAAGTCATGGTGGAAGGGTTGCATGCTATTTCCAACAGGAGCTGACCTCTCTCCAAGGTAATGCTAAGTGAGATCCAGTTTCTGTTCCAAGAGGAGAGTGCTGCCCAAGGAGCTTCTCCCTGCAGGCTCAGCCATCTGTGTCCCCAGGTCAGTGCTCATCCAGGCAGGTGCGTAGCAGGTGGGTTCTGCATGGATCTGGCTCCCCATGACAGTGCTTGCATTTGCCTAACTCCCCAACACCTGTGGGCTGCTGCACTTGGCCCTTGCAGAGCTTGCTGGCTCTCTGGCCTGAGGGCCAGGCTGATCCAGCCCACTTGCTTGGGCTCTGACATACTACATGACAGTTGCCAGCCCAGATTCCTGGCTGGGGTCCTGATGGAAGCTTGTGTGTTCCCAGGAGCTAGGATTTTGCTGCCAGGAGACACCTAGGGTTGTCCACCCCCTGCCCATTCCCATCACTACTTTTTCTCACCCCACATCCAATGCCCGGGGACATTGACACCTGCTGAAATCAATGCCTGAGCCATCCTCCTCTTTTTGGGCTGACATGGGAGTGGGGAAGCTACCCATCCTCTTAGAATTAGCCCTATAGCTGAGCAAAAACAAAACCAAAGCCAAAAAACTACACTTACCCTTCTTTCCCCATCTTGTTATTCAGGGGAAATGTGAGAAATAGCTGGAAAGGAATGTAGAGGTTACTGTGAAGGAGGTGGGAGAGGGGGTAGGGCTCTAATTGTAATTAAATAGTATTTTATAAAAATACAGGGAATTATTGAAAGATTGTAAGGAGGGAAGTGTCCTGATTAGACTGTGGTTCAGAGCTGTGGCAGGTGTATGGGCAGGCAAGGGAGATGAGGGAGGCCAGGGGGCCAGAGGAAGGGCACTGGCTGCAGTCCTTGGGGCAGTGGGCTGTGAGTGTGGCTTGAGACAAATGATGGGGGTGACAAGCCCTGCAGAGGCAGGAACAACCTTTCAGCTTTGCTCTGCTCCCTCAGCCCTGTGTGTTCAAGACTGGGAGGGGAGACTGGGGTAAGTTTCTCACCACCACCCTACTCAGTGTCCAGTAACCTCACCCTTGTTTCGTGAGTGTTTAGATATTCTAGGATTGAAAAACTGGTTGTCTACTTGGAATAAAATGCATGGTTCCTTAGTTATCTTGTCACATAACAAATTACCCACAATACATAACAACTTAAAACAACAAATATTTCTTACTTCATAGTTTCTGAGGGTCAGGGATCAGGGAGTGGATTAGCTGAGAGGCTCTGGATCTGAGTCCCTCATGGGGTTGAAGTCAGGCTTTCGGCCTGCTGGGGCTGCAGTCATCTCAACGTGAGGCTGGAGGAAGCCCTCCTTCCAAGATGGCTCAGGTGAGTGTTGGCAGGGGCCCGAGTCCCTCACTGCTGTTGCTGGAGGCCCTGGTTCCTTGTAACGTGGGCCTTCCCCTTGACCGCCTGAGGTTCTTCATGATATGACAGCTTGTTAGTTTGTTTCCTCAGAGCATGTAAGAGAGAGAGAGAGAGAGAGAAAGAGAGAGCAAGAGAGAGAGAGGCTACTAAGGGTGTAAATACGAGGAGGTGGGGATGATAAGGGGCCATTTTGGAGGCTGGCTACTATGTAGGGCTGGAGCAAAATCCAAGACATCGAGGAGTGCCCCTCCTGCAGGGCATTTGGCAAAGGAGAGGCTGAATACTGACGAGATGCCATCCACTCTGCCAAAGGGAGACTTTGCATGTAGGGGGTGAAGTCTTCTGGTGGTGACTCAGTTTCCACAGCTCCTGGGAATCTGCACAGCATCACTCCCAGGGCTCCTTGGCTGGATCCCCGTGCTCAATTTCCTTTAGTGTCACTTTCCTCAGGAGAAACCCTCAGGCTCCGGCATGGCCGCATAAGCACCCTCACTGCTTCTCCCCTCCTCCATTCTCTGACATCTTCTTAACATCAGGAAAAGTCCCATCCTTATCTCTTTTTGTCAGAACCACTCTATCTAGTTTCTTCTCTTTTTTCTCCCCTTGATACTATTTTCTAGTTCTTTTGTAAGAGATCTTGAAAGTCCATCCAGAGCCCAGTCACTAACAACCAGAGAATGAGTCACTTTTTCTCAAATCTGCCAGGATGTGAAGGGGTATACTCACGTTCAATCCTTCGGAGCATCAGGAAAAGGGACCTAGATGGACCCCCGATGATTTTCTATTCAAATAGTTTATGAACCCTCATCTGCAGTGGAGGGATGGGGGAGGCATGGGAAAAGGTGGACTTAGCCACATATCCAAGGAGCTGAAATCCAGGGCTACTATGGCATGAGGAAAGTCAGAAGCAGCTTGGGAAAATAAACCAATGAATTCAGTTGGCACATTTTGAACTGAAAGTGGGACAATGTAGCAAGCGGTTGATGCTGCTGGAGATCGTTTGGAGCAATGGCTTTGGAGATGTGTTTAGAGGCACTGGCTGTGCAACAAGCTTGGTTAACAGTTCTTATTGCTTCAACTGTACAATTCAGTGTGAGTTCTTACTACTATCAACCACCATGAAACAAGCCCTGCTCTGTGCCAAGCCCTATCTCAGGTGCAAGGCATAAAGTCAGTTCCCCCGTGAGGGGCTCTTCTCCCAGTAAGGGAGGCTGAGTTGGACACAGGCAAGGGCAATCCATCATGATAGGCATCTCGGAGTTTTGGGGATGAGAGAAAAACTGTCAGGGAAGGTTTAGAAAGACACTATCTGAGATAACCCAGAAAAGTGGACGTGGAGGTCAAGCGTAGCTTCCATTGCTGCCATTGAACCACATTTCTCAGGGCAACATCAATGGCCACTCCAATGGAAGCTAACCCTTTTATTTCCCATATGTTTTTGCTTTTCCAGCAGAACATAGGAAATGAAAACTACTGTCCCCAAAGCCCTCATAGAGCCCCACAATATATAATCCAGTGACTCAGGCTGGCAGTCTCCACCTTCCTTCTTTGACTTTCCAGCAATTCTATCATCATTGGCTCTGAATCTCTGACCCCTGCTGAATGATTGGCTCCTTCCATTTTCCTTTGATTGCTCTCTTCTTGAGTTGCCTCATCTAATTTTATCAAAAGTTTATTTCCCCTCTAAAGCATTTGTATGTTAACGAAAAAGATCTGTAAGTGAAGATAGTTTTTATTTTCTGTGTTTTGTTCTAACAGATGATTATTTTTCTTGTCTGGGCTTGAACAGAGAAAAGCATCAGCAAGGCTCTTGTTGAAAAATTCATCTTGTCGCTGGTGGCAAGAGCCACACTGCAAGAAATAATAAGCCCAGCTGCAGCCGCTGTTCGGATCACAGTAGAGGCGGCAACACCCCTTCCCCCAATTCTTCCTTTCTTTGCTTGCTCTCTGAGCAGCTCTCCATGAAGCTGCTGTGATTTACATATATTGAAATAGCCTGTAAAAAACCCCATAGGATCACCCCCACTTCCCTAACTAGCAGGGCAAAGGATCTCTCCCCCAGGTCAGAAAAATAGCATCCTCCATCATAATCTCGGCTCTGTGGTCTTTGGGGATGCTGTTGGCCATTCAGTCTCTGACAGTCATTTCTTTCTTGGTTCTTACACCAGGCATCCTTTTACCAATTTCTCCCCTTTCAACAGCCACCTAGAGACATATTAAGTTGCTTCCCAGTTTTCTCTGCCTGTGATCAATCACTCCAAACTCAAGGGAAGGACAGAGCGACAACTTCAAGCAAGACCTCCAGGGGATCTCTGCTGGAAATTGTACTTTATTTAAGACCCAGCTCTTGGGACCCTTCCCTTATGAAGTCCACCTGGTCACCAGCATATAGGTTACTGACGCCCTTATAGGCCCATATAGGTTACTGTCTTGAACGCCTCCTGATGAACACACTCATCACACTATATCTCCATGCTCTTTCGATACATTTGTCTATTCAACTAAAGAGAATCCACAGACTTGGGGCACCTTTTGGGAGCAGGGCAAGCATCTCCTTCTTTGCTTTCCCTGAGATCCAGCACCTGGCAGGGAGTTTGTACTTATTAATTATTTTTGGATAAATCAGTGAGCTCTGAAAATACTCAGAAGAATACCTTTACCACTTTCTTCTTTCTCCTGGCCTTGGCTAGAGTTTCTATAGGGAGGGTGCAATTTTGGACCATTCACTTGCTCTCTGGGCAATTGGGATTCCATTTGTAAAAGCCATCCTGACAACAGTGTGGATAGGGCCCATCAGGAACAATGTTTGGTGAGCTCAAGGCTTGCCCGTGAGCTGGGAGCCCCAGGCCCTCTCTGAGAAAAGAAAGGTTTGGGCACTTGTTAGTGTTAGTGATAGGTCAGGGGATATTAGATTTTATAGCTCCTTTAAGGATGCTTAACTTATGTTACCAGAGGGGTCATTTGCAAACCACAGCAGATCAACGAACAGTGAATTTAAGTAGCTGCAGACTTCTTAGTTGCTATCTTCCACACGGAAGAAGAGCTAAGTGTGCCTGCCCTCAGGTTATGAGGTAAGAATCTAATCAGCTAATTCAACATTGACATTCTTCCCATGGATGTCACCTGCATCCTTCTCAGCCAGCCTGGCACTAGGGACACCTGGAGTGCTAGCACTTAAAAGGAAATTCAATTTGTTTTCTCCAGTTCAGTGACTTTGAGGTTAGGGCTCTCATAAGAATTATAAAATAATTCCTAGCCTTTGGTTGTCAAACACCAAAGCTGAGATGTTAGGGAAGTTATCCTGCATAGAATCAGCATTCCTGCAGAGGACTCAGTCCCATGGGTCATTTGCTGGAAGGGATTACATGTACAAGCATGTGCTTTCTCTCAGGCATTTGAGAGTTCGTATTCTGATTGGGCTACATACTGGCCATGAGACCTTTGGCCAGGGACTTCCGCTCTCTGAGCCTTGATTTCCTCACCTAGCAAGAATAAATAATATTAATATTCACCTCAGAATGTTATTTTTTACGATTCAATGAGATACTCTATAAGTCTTAGTCCTGACACCTCATAGGCTCAAAAAAGATGATGGTGATGATGATGATGATGATGATGATGATGATGATGATGATGATAAGCTTGGAACTAGTGATGGGCCTGGAGTCAGACTCAGCTGTTAGATGCAACATGGTCTCTGGAAATATCGAATTTCCATTTCAATGCTTACTTACTTACGGTTGCATACTGACTTTTAAAAATTTTAGAAACATTTATAGGATAATATCCAATTGACATCAATATATTTACTTCCATGATGTTGCTCCACTTTCCACTTTCCCCTTTCCCCAATCTCAGGGAAGCTTTTTATATGTGAAACAACTGAGGCTCAGAGAGGCCAAGATCATTCATAATGTGGGTGAGGCAGAGTCTGGAATAAGGCTATGGTTTTTTGAGCTCAGTTCTCCTAGCTGGGCAGTTTACCACTCTTTGTTCATAAAGTAAAAGGAAAGCTCTGAAATTCCCACTGAAGTATAAATAATGGATCTCCACTAAAGGCATTATCCCTCCTACTAAAATGTTAGGCACCAGGGAGATAGGTAGGAACAAAATGCCCCCTGCCTTAGGGAAACTCCCAGGACTTTATCTAAGCTGTGAAGCTCTAAGAAAGATTAGCATCTGATCCTCAGACAGGTAGGGGGTCACAGCACTGGAGAGGATGGTGAACCATGCAGTCTAGATGGCACTGGGTGGGCCAGTTTTCTGGAGCCAAATGCGGTGATTCCTAGCATATTTGGGGTGGGAAACATGAAGAAAGATGGGCAGTGAGCACCATCACTATGGTGCTGGGATGATTCCTGCCATGGGTGTTCCCTGGGTCTCTATACGTGGTCCACATCTGCTCTGGGGATTTGACTATCAGGAGCCAGAGAGGATCAGTGTGAGGAGTCTGCTGGGCAGATGCAGAGAACAGTGGCCAATGTATGGGCTCAGAAAGATTTTCTGAACATATGTAAATGGTGGCTTTTCACACTAAACATGAGCACACACATGCAAGCTCACACTCACTCACATACACATAGATCCCCAGCTTGGCTTTCTGGGTCCTTTTTTTTTGTGAAGGGGAATTTTACTGTCCTTACCATTGTCACTGGATTTCTCAGAGCCTCCTCTTTTCAGGTATCCCAGGCATGTCCTTTGTACAGCTCCATTTGCGACCTTGAATTTCTCATGCTGTCTGTGTTCTGACTTTGCTGTGATTGTGCTTTCCACCCTGCGTGGCTGCTCTCCTACCCAACGAAGCTGCTCTCTCCCGCAACGAAGCTGCTCTCCCCCCGTCATCATCAGAGATCCCAATGGGGAGTCCACCTATTTCAGGTGCTAAAGCCACTTAAGTCCTGACTTTGGAATCAGAGGCTGCTCTCCCTCAGCACCAATCCATCTCCTGGTGGTTTCAGCTCATTTGTTATTTCTTGCAAACTAGATGGTCACAGCATGGTCTCGACTATATACTCCACCCCCCACTTATTAAGATGTTTCACAAGGAAGTACAAAAAGGTAGTGATGCATTTTAGTTAAAAAATGTGCTCAGCTGATCCATAATTCTGCTCCGAATGGAATTTCGGTCCCATTTCTCTTTCTGACTTTTGCTGATGTTGGGGCCCTGTCTTTACTATTAAGCTGCCTTTGCTGATGAAAAATTACTTTTCTTACATACTGAGGGCCAGCTTCATAGAAATGTGAGCACAGCTTTAGGCTGCAGGAAGAGCAAATCCCAAAGGACTTGGAAAAAAGAGCACTAAGTTTAAATTTCAGGCCAATTACCAGCTCTGCAAACTTGGTCAAATTAATTAGCATTCCCAAGCCTTCATTTATTAAATGAGGGTGTCAACTTTTTGATTGAGAATTAAATGTGATGGTGTATGAAATGGTCCTGGCTCTTAGTAAATGCTTGATAAAAGCCTCATCTCTTTGCTTCTTTGCTTACTACCCCCTATGATAATGCTTACATGTGTTTGGATAAAAATGTCAAACGATGGATGATGTCAGAGACTAATGGCATCATTTCTAAAACTCCAGCAGAATAATAAACAGGACCTCATCTTAGGCCTTGAAACTTCAGATCTGCTGCTAGAGTCAGACAGCAGCATTCAAATTATGTGTGCCTCAAAAAGACAAACATCACATGTTCTCACTTATTTGTGGAATCTAAAAAGTAAAACAATTGAACCCATGGATGTAGAGAGTAGAAGGTTGGTTGCCAGAGGCTGGAAAGGGTAGTGGGAGGTAAGGGAGAGGTAGGGATGGTTAATGGTACAAAAAACCAGAATGAATAAGGCCTAGTATTTGATAGCATAACAGGGTGACTATAGTCAATAAAAACTTAATTGTACATTTTAAAATAACTAAAAGAGTATAATTGGATTGTTTTTTAGCCCAGAGGATAAATGCTTGAGGGGATGGATATCCCATTTCCCATGATGTGGTTATTATGCACCGTATGCCTGTATCAAAACATCTCATGTACCCCATAAATCTGTACACCTACTATGTATCCACACAAATTAAAACAAAAGTTTAAACAACAACAAAATCAAACAAAAACAAAACCAAAAAAACCTGCGTGCCTGCTTCGTTTGAACAAGAATCCTACCAGCTGTTCCTGGGGTGATGACAGCATCTTATTTTGCGTATGGAAAGCACCTAGCATCTATCTGGCACACACAGGGAATGCCTGGTGAATATTAATTACTTTTTCTTTTGTTCAGAGCTGGCAGGAAGTGGGTCATATAGGTGTAAACTAGCCTCGAAGCAGTCGGGCTGCCTTGCGCCCCTGGGCACCTGTTGTGTGGATCCCCGGGCAGAGGCACGGTGGTATCATTAGCTGCAGTGTGAAGCTTCTTCCAGCAGATGTCGCTGTGATACAGGCGTCGCCAGCCGAACATTGCAGGACCTCAGGATCGCCCTGTGGCTGCAGAAAGCGGCAATGCAAGCTGTGACATTTGGGCACATTGTCCATAGGATGTTTACAGAGGCTGCAGTGGGCTTGAAAACAACAAGCATGGGAGTTTGAGTTATAGTAAAGGACAATGAATAAAGAGGAAGGATTTTTTTTTTCAAGAAAAAGGAAATTTTGATGTCAATGGCAGAATGGATGACTGTAAAGGAATGCTTTTAGATGGAGGAAGAGGACACACCTAATCTGAGTGAGGGTGTGGGAGGTTAGGGGAAGTTCAAATGGACATAGACGTTGGATACAAACATCCTCACTCCATATTGTCACTGACATCGTTAATAGTCTATAGTCTTTTTATGCCCCTGGAAACCCACGCTACGTTTTTCAGGGGTCTTTCCTGGATCCTTTAGAAAGGGATAAGTATAGATGTGTTTGAGTACTCCCTTTCTTTACAAGAGAAAGTCCTTTATGGGGCTTTAGAATCTGGAGAAGCTGCAGGCAGTTGCAAGATCAACTTGAATCTTAAATAGCTCTCCATGTAGGGTTTTCAACGATGTACATATATAGATGTGTCCCTTGGGGTTTTCTATTCCTGCACATCCTAGGTTTTCTAGTTGAAGTCACAAGCAGCTACTCCAAATTGTGGGTGTTGCAATTAGGGCATTTACTGATCAAGGCTACCACAGGATGTTTCTGGGGTGAGCAGCTAGAGCTGTAACCATGCAGATAGAAGTGGAGATCGTGGCTTCTGAGCTAACAGAATCCTTACCATGTTGTTTGTTCCTAGGATATGAAGGTTGTGGGTCTGTGCACTTAGCTTCTGACAGAGTAACTCACCTGACCCTTTATCACTACCAACCCAGCAACAACCCTTGGTGAGCTTATGTCATGGCTCCAGGCTGTGCTGGGCTGGGGGAGGGCCAGGCAGAGTTCCCGTGCTTAAGGAGCTTGCCATGTCTTTAGCTTCTTGAAGTGATGAGTAAATGGGTTAGAAGGTAGTTAAAAACCATTGAGGAGACCTAAGTGGAGGCTAAATGAGCTACAAGAATCACCTATGTGCTGGGGGTTGGGGAGACCTGGAAATGGTGAAAGAGATTGGAAGCAAGGTGGGGCAAGGCTTTGGCTTTGAAATATGTGTGGATTTTGTGGGTGAAAAATGAAGGGGGAAGTTTTCCCAGGTGGAGATGAATTGTATGAAAGAGGCAGGAATAAGCCTGGTGTGGGTGGGACGGTGCCTAGAGCAGCCCAGCTAGGCCACTGGGTGAGGTTTGCAGAGTGAAGTGATGCTGACATCAGGAGCAAGTAAACTGAAGATTCCCGTGGCAGATTGAAAAATAAAACAGATCCAGCAGTTACGTTTCCCGGCAGCATGGAACCACTGTGGAAATCCACGTTCTAGGAACTGGCTCCTGCTGTGTTCCTAGCAATGTCCAAGAAAGCTTTCACCAACCCATGGCCCAACCGAAACCTGACATTGCTGGTTGACCCAGTTCTCACCACCTCTGACTCCTACGATTGACTGACCTTTGACTCCAAACGGTACTAGGGGCAAAGGGTGGCAATGTGGGTTGAAATGAGAGAGGTCAAAGCAGGAAGACTGGCAGGAAGGCTCCCACAGACAGTTAGGTATAATCTGACTTGGACCTGCCTAGGAGGGTGGGAATGGCTACAACCAGATGGGGGTCTCTCCCTGAAACATTGCAAAGGGCAATTGGAGGGCTTGGGACTGGCGGGAAGAGGGGGTGAAGCAAAGAGAGGAGTCAGTGATGACTTCCTCTAGACAAGTTTTCTAGCTTTCATGCCTGAGGGCATTGTTAGGCCCCTAAAAGATACAAGGACTTTGAAAAACAGTTTAGATGTATATATTAGGGAAGATAATGAGTACAGTTTGAAACGTGGTATAATTTGAAATGGTGAGATTGAAATAATGGTAGATCACTTACGTGGACATACTAGGCATTTGAAAAGGTGACAGTGTGTCTCTAGAGGATGGAGGGGGATGGAGGGATAGAGCTCCAACCATTAAGGTGTGAGCCACCAGCCTGGCACATGGTAAAGGCAGAGGGTGGCAAGAAGGCAGATCACAGGCCATAGGCCTAGGCCTGAAGTGAAGAGCTGTGCAAGAACTTTCTGTGACCAGGATAATCTGAAAAGAGACCCCTCTCACTTCAAGATGGAATATCCCATTTTCTGCCATTTCTATATCAGTGTCTTGAACACCTATTATCAGGGGAGGAGATAAGAAAGTCATACAGCAACACTCTTGGCCCAGGAAGCACTCTGCAGCTCCTCCATGAGGAATCTGGTAGGCCCCAAATGTTCAGAGATCACCTAGTTCATCTGCCTCCACATAACAAGTGGGGAAACTGAGGCCCAGGAGTCACTGGCATGCCAATGCTGTGCGGTTAGTGAGGGAAGAGAAGACCCTTAGCCAGCCCATGAACTTCAAACTTAATGCCTGTTCCTACTCCCCCTGCAAAAACAGTGTAGAGTTCAAACATGAGCATCAGGCAGGCTTGTGTTCAAATCATGGCACCACCACTTCCTAGGTCTGAGACCTGAGGAAGGCGAGACAGCCTCTCTAAGCCTCAATTCCCTCACCTGGAAAATACAAACAATGAGATTACCAATGACATTAGATCCTATGTGGCTTGTATGAGGGGACACAACCAGGATGCTGAGCACATTGCTGCCAGAGAAGCAGTCAACATTAATTCATTAACGCTTAACTCAGGAAATAGTTATTGTACACCTATTATGCTTCTAGTATCAAGGATAAAACAGTGGGCAAAACCCATGCTACCTCTGCCTCATGGATCTTATAACCTAGAGATGACAGACATTAATTAAAAGATATGAAAAATAATTATCGACGGTATTAGGGACTATCAAGAAAAAGGCAGGGCACTCTTAGGAATGAATAGCAGGACAACCTGGTTTAGTCTAGGGTTCAGGAAAGAGCTGAATGCTGAAGCATGACCAGGAATCCCTCGTGTAGAGAGAAAGGCAGCAGAAGAGCATTCCTGCCAGCAAAAGGAGTCTGCTCAAAGGCCATGAGGTGGGATGGAGGTCCAGTGTTGCTGGATATTAGAGGCATAAAATGACTCTGGGGTGCAGTCCCTAGTTGTTAAGGTCCCCCTCTGCCTTCAGTCTCATTCCAATCTCGATTGATCCTTGCGAGGACAAGGAGACCTCCCCCTCTTATTACTGGAAGGGGGATTAATGAAGTTATTTAATACTATAGACTTAGTAGGTTGAGTGTCTTGGGGAAGATCAGGACACCCTTAGAACCCAACTGCCCTTGTCTCCAGATTGTTCAATTTTCAGCTTCTGTTTAGCATCCTCTTCCCTGCTAAGTCAGAGCCCTGTCCAAACCTTAGCCTTCCTCTACAGCTCACAGGGCTGGACCCCTACATATACCCTTGGCTTCACCTGTGGTGCCATTCCTAGTGCAGTGATCCCCCAGAATGCTGAGGCCACCTGGTAATAAGCGAGCCCCATGGGGAGAGTGGGAGTGGGGACGGTGACAATGGCCTTGACACAGGTAGGTTCTTATCAATTAAAATTGAGAGGTATGCTGTTCCAAGTTACCCAAAGACCCTCTTCCCAGGAGAGAAGCAGCCCTGTGCTCACAAAAGAAGTCACAGTCCAGTCTGGGGAACTGATAGGAATACAGTGAAAAAAGGAAACAGCAGAGTGACCACAGGCTGTACAGCCAGGAGGAAAGAAGAGGTCAGCCCGAGTTAAGTGTTTCAGAACGAAGGCTGTGAAAGGCACATGGCTGTGTGGCTCTGCTAGCCCTGATCCTGATCATTGCACTTGGCTGGGAACCCTTTGCAGCATTACTTCAGTCTCCAGGTTGAGCTTTTCTGAGAGCCAGATCTGCTGGTGGTAAAGGCTGGTTATCACTCCTTTAGACACAGTGCAGAATTGCAGGCCAAAATTATCCCTGGAGGATCTGCTCCATCTCCAGCCCATGCACTTACAGAGTCCTTTTCTTCTGCATTCGCACCCTCTGCATGCCTAGTTTGAGTTTCTCTCTGAACTTCCCAATTTCCCCTTGAAGTTTTAATGAGGAAGAAGGTTTGCTCCTGAGGATGCTGTCCTGGGAGCATCCAGGGCATGGACAACTTAGGTCCTTACAGAAGCAAATCCAGTCATGTTTTATCCTCACAGTTGTAGAGGCTAAAGCCATCCATAGGCACCAAAGAATCTCGTGGCATCTTTGGATTTGAAAGGAACACTGAAGTCTTTTGTCCTGTGCTGTACCCAGTGGATTCCAGAATTCACCTCCTTGGTGATGCTCCATATCATTTAGCGGAATAGGGAACACTAAATACAAGGAATTTTCTCACAGATATGTGTGGCATTATGTAGAATTTATTTGGAAGTTTTTGAGAAAAATGATCTTCTGAGACTCTGGAGTAGAATCTGACAAAGGAGGGTGTGGTGTGCTCCCTGATGCAGGAGGAAGGGATAGACATTTGCTGAATGTATAATAGGAACCCAGCTCAGAATTAGGCATATTACATTGATTTTTCAATGATTCTCAGAACTCTGTGGGCTAGTGGATAATGTCTCAATTTTATAGCCTATCACCCTACTTCCCCATTAAGTGGTAGAGCTAGAATCTGAAATCAAATCTGTTCAACCAAGTCTGCGGTTCTTCCACTAAATCAAGTTGCCTCGTATTTATTTATTTATGCATAGAGGCAGTGAAATCAGAAAATATTTTTCATAGGTGCTGTCTTCTGGAGTTAAAAAATAACACCCAAAAGTAACACTCCTCAAGTCCTGGGTTCTTGTCATCATTCATAAACATTCCTCGATGACAGCCGGTTGCACCTGTCACCCTCCTACCATGAGGAGGGGGAAGACGAGAATTTCTATGAAAGATTTATAGGCTGAGATCAAAGAAGCAGTCAGGGTAAAGTTCAAGCTCGTCCCCAAGGTCTCTTTTTTTTTTTTTTTTTTTTTTTTTTTTTTTTTTTTTTTTTTTTTTTTTTTGAGACGGAGTCTCGCTCTGTCGCCCAGGCCGGACTGCGGACTGCAGTGGCGCAATCTCGGCTCACTGCAAGCTCCGCTTCCCGGGTTCACGCCATTCTCCTGCCTCAGCCTCCCGAGTAGCTGGGACTACAGGCGCCCGCCACCGCCCAAGGTCTCTTTTATTCCTTATGTCAATAAATTCAGTAGCCCCACTCTGAGGTCACACTGATTTGTTTTGTGCTGTATTTTCTACCTTCTATGAGCTGGCACTGTGATAAGCACAGTGGATGTGGGGAGATGGTCCCTGCCAAGTAGCAGAAACACAGATGTAGTTGAGTCATTACAGAGCAGAGTGGTGTGTGTCTCATAGCTGGGCACATGGAGGAGGGAGTCACTGACTGGGGCAGAAGCTACTTAGGGATGGGTCTAGTTCAATGAGCCAAAATGCATTTCTGTAGGGGTGCTTGGGAATGACAGGCAGGACCTGATCTTCTGGAGCCTTGTGTGTCAGGTTATAAAGCTTGTAATTTATCCTTCAGCTGTGGGGAGCCACCGAAAGTCTGGCTTGGTCCCAACCTCTGTGTACTTCTATATCCTCACCTCTCCTCATGGGCGGGTTCTGCCCCACTTCCATTCTTTGGCATGGAGAGGACTGGCCCTGAGGGGAGGCAGGAGATTCTCAGAGCACACCTGCTGCCAGTTTAACCTGACCAGGTGTTCCTGTTGCTACAATGAAATTTCTTCCTTGGCTGGGAGTGGTGGCTCACACCCATAATTCCAGCACTTTGGGAGGCCAAGGCAGGCAGATCACCTGAGGCCAAGAGTTCGAGACTGGCTTGGTCAACATGGTGAAACTCTGCCTGTACTAAAAATACAAAAAAAAAAAAAGAGAGCCTTGCATGGTGGTAGGCACCTGGAATCCCAGCAACTTGGGAGGCTGAGGCAGGAGAATCACTTGAACCTGGGAGGCAAGGTTGCAGTGAGCTGAGATCGCACCACTATACTCCAGCCTGGGCGACCGAGTGAGACTCAGTCTCAAAAAAAGAAAAAAGAAAAGTATTTAAAAAATAGACATTTCTTCCTTAGTCGTGAAGCTCCTATTCTAATCTGCCTTAGTCTGGGAATGACTCTCTACTCCCAGGAACTAGAGGCTGGCCCCTAAACGTCAGCTCAGCGCCTCTCTGGGGCTATCATTCGGCCTGAATTCCTGGGCTCTATCTGACTTTTGAGGTGTCTCCTCTGTATCTTGTGATCTCCTTTCCACCAACCTTCCTGGCCAACTTTTTGCTTGAACCAATGGCGAATGAGTGTAAGAATTATTCCCACTCTTAATGTCTGTGCTCAACGCCTGCAGGTGGGTCAGCTCTCCAGGTCTCTACCTGCCCCAAGCCTGATAGTTGTTTACTTTTCAGCTTCATCCAGATGCTATTATGAATGATAGCCCCAGTCCTCTCCTTTCTTGGAGGTCATTAGAGAGGCCAGTTGAAGCTTAGTGTGGTTTTCAGAGGTACTAATCCTTGGTAAGACTTTTGTGATTAATCACTATTATGGATTTTTATATTCCTTGGAGAGACCCTACCAGGAATTTCACATAACATTAATATCCCAGTACCATTTGGAGTATCTCGGCCATTTGGGATATGTCTTTACAATCTTTTTTTTTTTCCATGAAGGTTATATGGTATGACTCCTGAGACCTTTAATATCAGAGACAGTTTATATGAGTATACATTTCAGACTTTAAATACT
Organism: Homo sapiens; assembly: GCF_000001405.40. Lineage (NCBI taxonomy): Eukaryota > Metazoa > Chordata > Mammalia > Primates > Hominidae > Homo > Homo sapiens. The sequence continues at coordinate 83,864,893 of NC_000010.11, read as the reverse complement.
TTCACTCAAAATTCTACAAATATTGTCACTTGGTCTTTTGATCATTAGAGTTCCAGGGGCGAGTTTGTTCTTGTTATTCTGTGGAGAATAAGTTTCTAATTTATTCATCATTGATTAAATATATATTCATTGAGTCAGATCAGATTGAATTATATGAAATAGCTACTTTTACTTTTCTAGGGCAATAATTGAAACCAGCACTTCTGTATGGTTCAGCTTAATATTACATATCAGGCCCTGTGCTAGTGCAAGGAAACCCTAAAATATCAAACCGTACCTGCCCTCCAGGCACACACAGCTAGGTAGAGAAGCAGGACAATGAGCAGTTAATACAATAGAGTGTGACAGAGGCCATAAAAAAAGTAAAAACAAAACAGTGGAGGAAGGGAAGAGGGGCAGAATTAGAATCCCGGAGAAGGCAGGCTTATGTCCTTTTCTTATGCCCTACCATTACTCTATCTTCATGCATAAGCTACGAGCGTATTGATTTCCCTTTTCTTTCTTTCTCGTTTTCTTTCTTTCTTTCTTTCTTTCTTTCTTTCTTTCTTTCTTTCTTTCTTTCTTTCTTTCTCTTTCTTTCTTTCTTTCTTTCCTTCTTTCTCTCTCTCTCTTTCTTTCTCTCTCTCTCTTTCTTTTTCTTTCTCTCTCTTTCTTTCTTTCTTCTTTTTTTTTTTTTTTTTTTTTTTGGAGTTTCACTCTTGTTGCCCAGGCTGGAGTGCAATGATGTGATCTTGGCTCACTGCAGCCTCTGCCTCCTGGGTTCAAGTGATTCTCCTGCCTCAACCTCCTGAGTAGCTGGGATTACAGGTGCCCGCCACCAGACCCAGCTAATTTTTTGTATTTTTAGTAGAGACAGGTTTCACCATGTTGACCAGGCTGGTCTCGAGCTCCTGGCCTCAGGTGATTCACCTGCCTTGGCCTCTCAAAGTGCTAGGATTAGAGGTGTGAGCCACTGCGCCTAGCCTATAGATTTATTTTCTTCATCCTTGATGAGAGGAGATGAAGGAGAAGGCTGCTTCAAAAAGTAGAAAACTTGCAGTCAGAAAACTACCCTGTTTTCCTGTTCTATTGCCTTTACCTTCTAAGTCATGGGCAGCCGGGGGTGGAGAGGTCATTGTACCAACACCAAACATAAACAGGTAGGCCACAGGGTACATTTTTGAGTCTAGTCCTCTCACTTTTATATTTAGTAAACATTACTCTCATCTTCTGGCAATGTGTTGGCTCTTCCAACTTGTTCTCAGTGCATTATGGAATTTTCATGTTTTTCTGAGCTTCTTCGTAGAAGTTCGGATGGGACATTGGGGAACGCTGGTTCAGAGGCTCCTTGCCAGATGCCATTTTAAGACACAGCCAATAGATGTTAGGCTGAAGCCCAGGCTTTATGCAATTCTTTGAACACTGGATATTGGACTTTGCGCTGCCCATTCTAGTGCAACCCAGGGAGTTAGTGAGTGCTTCCAACTTTAGTTCCACTTGCTTTTGGCTTACTCCCTTTTCGCAATGTACACCTTAGTTCTCTGATTTCAGCAAGCCTATGTAGGTGATACCAACATTATTTTTCTTTCTGCCTGAACATAGACCTTTTCCAATCTTTCCTAGATTTAAACAATCTTTGCCTTCCTCTCTTGTTTTCCTATGTAGTCAGATACCTGTTTTATTTTGGAAGAAATATTTAATCTTTAATAATTAATATTTAGTTATTTGTGGGGCATGTGACTTCTTTATCAAACATATTTGAAGGGAGTCTATCAGCTTTCAGTATATATATATATATATATATTTATAAATTTTTGACAAGCAAGAATGTTATTGGAGTGCAGCCTCCTCATTAGGTGAGACATGGTTATGTATTCACACCATAAAGGTACAAGTCTGGCAGCCTGCCTGCCTTCATACTGGAGGAGCTGCCAGGACTAGGGTGTGTATAATTGCTTCAGCTACTCAGAGCCAAAACTGTCATCTCCATGACTTCCTGATGGCTGGTGATGTGCACCTGCCAACTAGTAAGCCTCAGCAGGTGCATCCAAGCTGGGTGCCAGTGCCCAGGCCCAGAGAATCTGTAAGCCAGCAGCATCTCTCCACAGGACACTTTTGAATTGGTTTGGAGTAGGAAATGGGGAAAACAAGAACTTCTGGTTTTAAAATATTTCTGGGATGCCCTATGAAATTATACTTTTATTTTCATGACTTTAAATATCTTCTATATCCTGACAACTCCCAGATTTCCATCTCAAATCCAGACCTCCCTTTTGAATTCCAGACCTGTATATCCAAATCCCTACTTGACAACTCTACTGGCATATTTAAAACAGATTTTTTAATCTCCCAATCCCACCCACAAGTTTCTGCATTTTCTTCCTTTTCTATCTCAGTTAAAGCAGTTCATCCATCTTCTTGCTCAGTGTAAATTCATCGTAGTAATCTTGACTCTTCTCTTTCTCTCATACCTACATAAAAGTCAGGAAACCTTATCGACTCTACCTTCAAAATATGTTTGTAATCCAACTACTCACCACTTCTATTCATACCACTCTGGTGTGAGCCACCATCATTGCTTGTCTGGACTCCAGCTTAACTTATCCTTGTTCTGCTTTAAACTGTTTTCCACCTAGCAACCAGAGCAAGCCTTTTAAAAATGGAAGCCATTATATAAGTCTTATCTTCAAAGTCTTCTATCTTACTCAAAGTAAAAAAAAAAAAAAAGAAATCAGTGACAATTCACAAAAGACAAGTATCAGTCACTGCTCTCTAAACTGAAGCAAGAAATGCAACCTGTTAACATGTGGGTAGAAGTTTTACTTATGAGACCTTGATTATGAAGTCTAAGTTTTGGTTACATGTTACATACTTTATTTTCTAAAGAACAGGAGACATTACTTCAAAGAATGTGTAAAGATCATTTGAGTCACCTCTAGTTTTGGTGTGCAGGCTATTGATTTATTGGAAAGAGGGATGTTATTCTCTGTTGCCTGGAAAATATTTTTATTTTATTATTTTTTTATTATTATTTTGAGATGAAGTCTCACTCCGTTGCCCAGGCTGGAGTGCAGTGGCACGATCTCCGCTCACTGCAACCTCTGCCTCCCTGGTTTAAGCAATCTTCCTGCCTCAGCCTCCCAAGTAGCTGGGATTACAACTGTGTGCCCCCATTCTTGGCTAATTTGTTTATTTTTAGTAGAGATGAGGGCTAATTTGTTTATTTTTAGTAGAGACAAGGTTTCACCATGTTGGCCAGGCTGGTCTTGAACTTCTGACCTCAAGTGATGCTCCTGCCTTGGCCTCCCAAAGTGTTGGGATTACAGGCATGAACCACCATACCCGGCTTATTTTACCTTATTTTTTGAGACAGGGTCTTGCTTTGTCACCCAGGCTGGAGTGCAGTGGCATGATCATGGCTCACTGTAGCCTCAACCTCCCAGACCCAAGCAATCCTCCCACCTCAGCCTCCTCAGTAGCTCTCTAACTGTATCTATCAGGAATCAAAATTTTTAGGATCCAATATGGCAATAAATGTAAGGGTTTTAAAACAACATTGCATTGTGGTTTTACAGTAAATGGGAAAATATGAACAAGAACAAAACCATAAAATGCTGCAGGAAGCAGCAGCATTTTAATGACTACAATATGTACACACTAGCTGATGCATTAGCATGAATACTAAACCTGATATTTGAAGCAGGAGACCTTGGATCAATGGGTAGTAGCATTGAAATTGAGCCAGGGGCTGCGTGCTTCAACATATTCTTTAACTGGAGATGAGAGGAAAATGCTTCCAAAACCTAAATAAATAGTGAGCAATGTCTGGGAACATTAGGTTAACTATTTAGCAAATGCCAGCTCTAGATAGATCTCTCCCCATTCAAAAGTTAATGGAAAAAGTAGTCATGATGGGGAGAATAGGTGGATATCTGCTGGTGGTAAAAGATCTTTAAAAGATCATTACGATCTTTAAAAAGCCTACTGGAGTGAATCCCTCACAGAAAATAACTATAAGGAATGTATATAATTCAAATAAAAGCTGCCTGAGGCCCCAGACAGTGAACATAGGTAGACCAGTTGGTAGGGAGTATACTCTAGGAGAAGGTGAGTTACGTGAAGCAAGTTCCTATTTTCATGGTTTTTAGCTTGGGGCCGAATACATCTGGCAAGACTCAGAAGCTGTAGGGGTAGGGTTGACAGAGAAAAAAAAATTGTCGTATTTTAGCCTGGTGGATGAAAAAACTTAAGCCACAGAATCTGGCCACTGAAGAGAGCAGGAGAATCTTGGAGATTCAAAAATTCAGTTAGGTGTTTCCCAAATCCTGTCTAATAGACTCAAAGTGGCTCAGGGGAAGACAAATGATCTGAACTAAGACTGGAGCTGTTGTACAAGAAACAGAGTTTGCAGTTCAAGATTATTGCTTACTAAAACAAAGAAACAGCACTCATCAGGGAAAAATAAAGGAATCCAGAATCTCCACAACTAAACATTCACAAAGCCCAGGATACAATCCAAATACCCAACATAAGAACCAGAAGAAAGAAACACATTCTCAATAGCAGGTGTTGGCGAACTCTGATCTCTGGCCAAATTTATCCCACAGACTGTTTTTGTATGACTTCTCATATAAGGCTTTTTTCCCTTAACTTTTACAGCATAGTAAAAGAAAACAAAACAAAACAAGGCACCACCAACCAAAAAGAGTATATGACAGCAACCATATCTGTCCTACAAAGTCTAAAATATTTACTGTCTGGTCCTTCATAGAAAAAGCTTGCCAACTCCTACTCAAGAAAATAAATATATAAAGAACACTCTTGAGGTGTTCCAGATGCTAGAACTACTTTCAAGGTTTTAAAGTGACTGTTATATCTATAGTGGCCAAAGCAAAACAAAATAATATGCTCATCATGAATGAAAAAATTAGAATCTTGGAAGAGAAATAGAAGTAGTAAAAAGAACCAAATAGACATTCTAGAACTGAAAAATTCAGTATTGGAAATAAAAAATTCACAAATGAACCTAACAGCCAAATAAATGTAGTAGAAGAAAGAGTAAGTAACTTTGGAACTTACTCAGTGGAAGTAACCAAATGTGAAGAACAGAGAGAAGAAAGTTTAAAAGATAAATAATATTACCTCAAAGATCTATGAGGTAATATTAAATGACCAATTAACTGTATTAGGTAATTTGAGTCACAGAGAGATAGCGAATAGGGTAGAACAATTTTTGATACAGTAGTAGATATGAAATAGTCAAATTTGATGAAAGACATTTGCAGATACACAATTATCAGGAAATACCAATGAGAATGAAAACAAATAATCCCACACTCAGACATATCATAATAAATGATTCACAAGACAAAGTTAAAGAGCAGATCCTGAGAGCAGAAACAGGGGAAATAAAAAACATATGCCATGTAGGGAACAGATAATTTAATTAATGGCTAACTTTACCTCAGAAACCATGGAAGCCAGAAGAGAACATAACAATATGTTTAAAATGCTGAAATAATATAATAAGTTGTCAACCCAGAATGCTACGTCCAATGATTATATTGTTCAATATTGAAGTCAACATAAAGATATTTTCAGGAAAAGAAAACTAAGAGTATTTGTTCCTAGTAGATCCACACTACAAGATATACTAAAGGAAGATTTTCAGTGTGAGGGAAAATTATACAAGATGAAAACTGGATCCCCAGAAAGAAAAGAAGAGTATTATAAATAATAGCTACTGAGAAAATCCAAAAGACTAATTTATTTTAAGGTGTTTTCCTCTGAGATTCTTTAAAATGAATGTAACTGCTTAACATAAAAATTATATAGATAAACTCTTGTGGCATTTATAATATATCCACATGCCACACACACGACAATCTAGCCTAAAGAATAGAATATACATTACACATAAAAAATATTTTATGTAGAGGAATAATGTATTAACTGTAAATAGACTACAAAATATTAATGTAGTAAATTATAATCCCTAGAAGAAATACTAAATGTTAATGCAAAAAAAAAAAAACTGAAAAGCTAACAAGAAAAGTAAAATGGAATTATAAAAAATATTTAAATAGCCCAAATTAAAAGGATAGGGAAGGAGGAAAGAGAAACCAGAAACAGAGGAGATAAATAGAAAACAAAAAATAAGATGATAGATCTACACTCAAATATATCAATAATTATGACAAACATTAATATATTAAACACTCCACTTAAGAGGCAGAGATCATCAGAGTAGATAAAAAACCAATACTTCACTATATGTGGTCTAGAAATGATTGATTTTACATATGAATTACAGGTAAATTTAAAGTAGATGAATAGGAAAAGATACATCATGAAAGCAATAAGCATTTAAAGACTGGAATGGCTATATTTATATTAGATAAAATAGATTTCAACATGAAAATATTGCTAGAGAGAAAGAGGAAAAATATATAATGATAATGGGTCAGTTCTTCAGGAAGACATAATAATTATAAACTTGCAGGCAACTAATAATAGCTTCAAAATATATGAGACAAAACTTTCACACTCATATGTGAAACTACTAAAAGAAACTACTAAAATAAAATAAATAGCAATGAAACTACTAAAATAATCAGTAAAGTCATGAAAAGAGCTAAACTATGAAAAACCTTGACTTAATTATTTATAAAACATGATACCCCCAAATGGCAGAGTACATATTCTTAACCGGTCTGTGATGGTAAATTTAATAGATCAATGTATCTGGGCCATGGTGCTCAGATACTTGGTCAAATCTTCTTCTAGATGTTTCTGGGAAGATGTATTTTTGGATAAGATTAACATGTGCATCAGTGGACTTTGGGTAAAGTAGATTACTTCCATGTGGTTGAGCCCTATCTAATCAGTTGAAGCTTTTAATAAACAAAAACTGCCCTCCCCTGAGTAAGAAGGAATTCTGAGAGCAGACTGTCTTTGGACTCAAACTGCAACTCTTCCCTGGGCCTACGTACTGCAACTCTTCCCTGTTGGCCTACCTTGTGGATTTTAGTCCTATTGGACCTCCACAATCATGTGCGCCAATTCCTTAAAATAACTCTTTGTATATACCATATGCATACATATTCTATTGGTTCTGTTTCTCCGGAGAACCCTAACACAAGTTCCATATGGTAAGTGTACCAGGATATACTGTACACTGTTCATGAGGAAGACTTTATAAATTTTATAAAATAAAACCAAAACAGAAGATGTTCCCTAACCACATGGTTTTAACAATAAGATAATTTTAAAAACTCCAAATATTTGAATACTTCTATAAAATATAAAAATATCAATAAAATTGATATATTTTTAGCTAGACTAAAATGAGAATATAAAAGAAGGCCCAAATTAACAATATTAATAATGAAAGCAGAGATATCCCCACAGATTCCATAAACATTTAAAGGAAATACTGTGAATAAAATTATGTAAATAAATTTTACAACCTTGAGGAAATGAAAAAATTCCTTGAAAGGCATATTACCAAAACTCACCCAAGAAGAAACAGGAAATTTCAAGAGCCTATATCAATGAAGTAAGTAAGTTGAAGTAATAGTTAAAAACATTGCTACAAAAAAACTTCAGACTCATACAATTTCATTGGTTAATTCTATAAAACATTTTTAGAAGAAATAGTACTGAATACTGAAAAATGCCCTTTCAGAAAATCCATAGAAGAGGGAATACTTCCAAATCATTTCATGAGGCCAGTATTCCCCTTTTTATCAAAACCAAAAGAAGACATTATAAAAATAAATTTATATCAATATCTTTTATCAATATACATTTTAAAAGCCTCAGAATATTTTAGTGAATCAACAAAAAATGTAAGGATAATAACACATCATGAGCAAGTTGTGTACATCCTGATAATTCAAGATTGGTTTACCATCGTGAGCCTGTAATCCTAGCACTTTGGGAAGCCGAGGCAGGCAGATCACTTGAGGTCAGGAGTCTGAGACCAGCCTGGCCAACGTGGTGAAACACCATCTCTACTAAAAATAAAAAAATTAGCTGGGTATGGTGGCGGGTAACTGTAATCCCAGCTACTGAGGAGGCTGAGGCAGGAGAACAGCTTGAACCCGGGGGGTGGAGTTTGCAGTGAGCCAAGATTGTGCCACTGCACTCCACCCTGGGTGACAGAGCAAGACTCTACCCACTGCCAAAAAAAAAAAAAAAAAAATTAACCAATGTAATTTATCCATTGATAAACTAAGGGAGAGCAATTAACGTATTTCAGTAAACGCAAAAAATAATATCCAGTTAGATAAAAGCCCTCAGCAAACCAGCAGTAGAAGAAAATTTTCTCAGCCTGAGTAAGCCCATATATAAATAAACTACAGGTAACACTGTATGCAATGATAAAGATTCACTGCTTTCTACCTAAAGTCAAGAATAAGACAAGGAAGTCTGTTGTCGCTGCTCCTCCTATTCAACATGATCCTGGAAGTTCTAGCCAGAGCAAGAAGGAAAAAAAGGAAATAAAATGGATAGCACTGGAAAGAAAAAAGTGAAACTGTCTTTATTTGCAGACTGCATGTATATGTACATTGAAAACCCTACGATATTTATAAATAGTGATTGGAATGAAAAAAGTGAGTTTATCAAAATTGAAGACACAAAATTCAATTGTATTTATACAAGTGATGAACAATTCAAATATAAAATTTAAAAAGTTCAATCTACAATAACATCCAATAATATACTTAGGAACAAATTTAATAAAAAAAATTCAAGACTTACTTCCAAATATAAAATAAATGTAAAGAAAGTGTAAATAAAGGGAATGGTATAGCATGTTTATGGACTGGAAGAGTCAGTATGATTTAAATGGGAATTCAGTCCTAATTGATCTGTAATTCAATGCAATTTTCATTAAAAGTCTAGCAGCCTCTTTTGTAGAAATTGATAAACGTATTTTAAAATTTTACTGGAGAACCAAATAACCTAGAATAGGTTAAACAGTGTTGGAAAACAAGAAATAGATTGGAGGATTTATCTACCTGATATGAAGATTTACCCTAAAGGTACAGTAATCACAGGAGTGTGGCAGTGGGGTAAAAATAGACATATTAATCAATGGGACATAATAGAGAGACCAGAAAAAAAAACCACAATTATATAGCTTATTGATTTGCATTAAAATGTTAAGGTAATGTAGTGAAGAAAAGATACCTATGCAAGAAAGGTTTAGGAATAGCTAAATATCTACATAGAGAAAACAAAACTTGACCTTTACCTTACAACATTCAAAATACTATCTTGAAATAGATCATAGACCTAAATATAAGAGCCAAACTTCAAAGCCTGTAGAACAAACAATAGGAGAAAATCTTTGTGACTTTGAGTTAACGCTTTTTAGAAAACTCACAAAAACATAAAGGCATAAAAATGTTGTAATTGACTTTATCAAAATTACTTTCCCTCTTTGAAAGACACAATTAAGAAAATGAAAAGGCAAGCTATAGACTATGAGAAAATAGTCACAAAACAATTTTTGGCTATTTATCAAGAATATAGAAAGAACTCTCCTACTCAATGATTAAAAGACCAACAGAAACTGTAGAAAAGAAGATATACCAATGGCTAATTAATACTTGAAAAGATGGTCAGCTTCCCTAGTCTTAGGGAAACACATATTAAAATTACAATGAGATACCACTATGAACCTACTATAATAGCTAAAATTTAAAAGACTGTCATACCAAATGTTGGCAAGGATGTGGGGCAATTGGAACTTTCATACTTAGCTGGTAGTATTGCAAAAATACAGCCACTTCAGATAATAGTATGGCAGTAGGTATTCTATAAAGCTAAAAGTACACTTACCCTATGACACAGAAACCCCACTCTTAGGTATCTACTGAACAGAAATGAAAACATAGCTATACAAAGATGTGTGTGTGTGTGTGTGAATGTTCATAGCAGTATAATTCATAATAGCTTAAAATTTGAAACTCAACGATTTATCAGCTTGTGAATGGATAAAGAAAATGTAGAATTACAGACTACTACTCAACAATAAGAAGACATATAATATTAATGCACAAAAGAAAATGGAACAGCTCCCCAAAACATTATGCTGAGTGTTACAAGTCAAACACATACAAAAACCATATACTGTGTTATTCCAATTACATGAAGTTCCAGAAAAGGCAAAACTATACGCACAGAAATCAAACCAGTGGTTTCCTGGGGGCAAAGGTTGGCAAAAGCGGTAGAAAATAAGGAGCAGGAGAAAACATTGTAGGATGGTACAAATGTTTTATATCTCGATTGTGGTGGAAGACGCTTGTGTACAATGACCGAAATTTATCATATTGCATATTTTTATTTGTTTTTTAATCTCCATTTTTAGACTCAGGGGGGTACATGTGCAGGTTTGTTACAAGAGTATATTGTGTGGTGTTGAGGTTTGGGCTTTTATTGATCCTGTCACCCAGATAGCGAACACAGTGCCCAATAGGAAGCTTCTCAGCCCTTTATCCCCTCTCTCCCTCCCTCCTTTAGGAGTCCCCAGTGTTTACTGTTTCTATCTTTACGTCCATGTGAACCCAAGATTTAGCTCACGCTTATACATGAGGAAATGTGGTATTTGGTTTTCTATTTCTGCATTAGTTCGCTTAGGATAATGTTCTCCAGCTGCATCCATATAGCTGTAAAGGACATGATTTCATTCTTTTTTACAGCTGCATAGTATTCCACGGTGTATGTGTACCACATTTTTAAAATCCATCCACTACTGATGGATACTTAGGTTGATTCCATGTCTTTGCTACTGGGGACAGTGCTGTGATGAATATGTGAGCACATGGGTCTTTTTGGAAGAACATTTTATTTTCTTTTGGACATAGTAATGGGATTGCTGGGTCAAATGTTATTTCTAAGTTCTTTGAGAAGTCTCCAAAAGGCTTTCCACGGAGGCTGAAATATTTTACATTCCCACCAACAGTGTGTGTTTCCTTTTCTCCACAGCCTTGCTAGCATTTGCTGTTTTTTTTCCTTTTTGATAATAACCATTCTGACTGGTGTGAGATAGTATCTCACTGTGATTTTGATTTGTATCTCTCTGATGATTAGCAGTGTTGAGGATTGATTTCATATCTTTGTTGGCCGCTTATATGTCTTCTTTTGAGAAGTGTCTGTTCATGTACTTTGTTCACTTTTTAATGGGGTTATTTGTTTTTCTCTTGTTGATTTAGTTAAGTTCTATAAAGATTCTGGATATTAGCCCTTTGTTGAACACATAGTTTGCAAATATTTTCTCCCATTCTGTAGGTTGTCTGTTTCACTCTGTTGAGAATTTCTTTTGCTGCCATATTGCACATTTAAAATGAATGAATTTCGTTATATGTACATGATACATCAATAAAATGGAAAAAATCATGATAGGCTCTAAAAATATATTGAATATACTTTAAGAAGACTATGACCCTATAGATTCAAAGAAAGACAGTATCTCTAAAAGTGACATTTCTTTTTCACAACAAAGAAAGAATTATTAGAAACATATCTTAGTGTTTTCAAAAAGTTTCAAGAGACTGGTCTTTAATAGAAATACAGGAAATCATAATGTGATAAAAGGCTAATGTTAAGGTGTAGATGTAAAGGAAACTTGGTTAAATAAAAAGTAGTTCAAGATAACCCAAAATGCAACAGTAGAAAATAAGTAGATATAAAATCCTTAGAGTGCTGAATTGACATAGTACAAAATAAATTCAGTAATATAAATTACAAACTAAAATAAATCTGTCCCAGAATGAAGAGGAAAAGACAAAAAGATAAAGAGAATGATAGGTAAGGAGGACAGGTATTGAAGATCCAACCTAAGCTTTCAGTTGTTCTAAAAGAATAAACCTGAATTCTCTGAATAGAAACAATTATCAATGGTAACATAGAAGTTGTCCTTGAACTGAAAGACAGTTTGACTCTATAATTCGAGTGAATTTATTGAGCAGTGGATAAAATTAATGAAAGAGACCAACTACTAGTCAGGTTCTGTCAAGGCTTTTTATTTTAAGAGGAAAGAAGAAACACATAATGGCAAAATAAATCAGTTTTGTAAAGTGAACTATAATCAGGCTTATTTTTCTCTTAAACACTTGTCTTCTCAAATATTTTGTACTTTAAACACAAAAAGAAAAGAATTCCTTGCCAAGTCAAGTTGTTCCTCATGTCAAAAGACAACAATAAGATATTCTCCTTCATCTTAGAAGATAGCTAACTGCTATTAAACTGTCCTAAAACAAACAAGCGATTTAAAGGTGTAATCCAACTTTTCCAGTCTTGAGTTTTTGCGTGAGAGGGCTGAAGGACAACATAAAAGAACAACATAAATTATATGTTCTATGTATAAGGGATTTTTTTTGAAAGCATGGTTACAAATCTACATTATAAAAGCCCAAACTATTGTTTAACAAGATGATTTTTATTCTAAATATAATGATTGTATACTAATAATCTACGTCTATAGCCAATGGTATTTACAGCCAGTATAAGTCATGGAAATTGAATGATTAGATCATTCCAGATTAGAGGAGCCTGAGGGCTGAATGTCAGCTCACTACATCATTCAGGAGAAAATTATCCACTTGTGGAAATGGATGGAATGAAAGATAAAATGTGTGCACAAAAATTCTTGTTATGCCTATAAAAATTTGGAAGTTGTTATTTGTTCTTTATTACCAAATGCAAGCTTAATTATGTATTTATACAATTCTTAATATTAATGAGTTAAAAACATGATTTCTACATTCCAACACTATGGAATGTAAAAGCAAAAGTCTATCAAACAAAAGACAAAGCATGATAGAAATGGCAAAAACAACTTAGCATAGTGCATAAAACAAAATCGTGAAAATAGGAATGTACTTATCTGTTACTATAACAGATATCAAGGGATTAACCCTCTCACCCATTAAAAACTCAAATTCTATAATGTGATTAAAGCAATAATCAAGGTTTGTTACTTTGAATTCTACAATATTGAAATAGTAAAAGAAAAGATAAATAAAGATTTACAAATTAAATCAACACAGAAAAAACTGAAGAGACTTTAAATGGGAAAATATGCATATTTTCACAATGATCACAGTTATAATTTATGACAAAGTATAAGCAGTTCTTAATTTGTATGTATCAAACATCACACCATCATATAAAGCAAGTAGAAGGATAATGTGACATGTGTACAAGTGTAGTGAATTATCAGCTCTCTGTGTATGATCAAGTAAATAGCTATAAAGAGTAAAATGAATAACTACATTGCACTTTTCATAAAAGAATATGACTTATTTCAAACATATACAGATCAGTTGTAAACAATTGACCATATACTAACTAGGCTACTGAAAACTCACAAACAGAAGAGAACTCTTAAAGGAATAAACTTAACATGAAGGTAAACATAAGTGAATAATAAAACAAAAACAAAAACTAAGTATCTTCTGTTTATTAGAAATCACTGGAAAATGAAATAATAATCAAAGCCTGGCATTTTTTTTGTTAAAATTATGATAAAGTCTTGAAATATTCAATATATAAAAATCTCATAACAGGAATAGCTACCAACTATAGAAATGTGGGACGATGATATGTTAACATTTATCTAATGTGAAATACATATAGTCAAGAACTATGTAGAAAAAGTTCAAACTCTCTAGTAATTATAAAAGATATATTAAAGTCAGACAATATTTTCACTTCTCAAAATTTGAAAATATTAAAAATATATAGTATTCGGTATTGACAAGGGCAGGCTGAACTGGACACTTTGTCTGGTGGGAGTGTAACTGATAACAATATTTCTGGAAACAAATATGTTAGCATCTGCCCCTACACATTAATTTCTATTTTAAGCATGTTTTCTAAGGACATTATCAGATAAATGTACAAGTAATTTTATGTTAGTGTGCTCATTACCTGGCCCACCATAATAATGAAAAATTTAAACAAACTGAATATCCAACATTGGAAGAATGGTTTAATAATTATTGTACAATTGAGAAAAGTAATATTATTTAAACATTAAAGTACATATTTTTGTAGAATATTTATGGGTGATGTGGATTAAAACAAAGCAGGATATAAAGCTGCATATTTGCTACATGCCATGGCAGACACATTCGCTTATTACAAGACTATCCTCTCCTTCCTTTATATTAGCAAAATCCTCATAGGCATTTATGAAAAGAAACTCATTCTTGAGAGCTAAAATAAAATTTAGGTCAAAAAGAAAAACAAAAAATGTGGGCAGAATAGCAAATTGGGCATAGCTGACAACAAATGAATGAGCTAGATTAGATAGAAAAATTCTCTCAGGAGGCAGCAGTTTGGAAGAGAAGAAAAAAAAAGAATGAAATAGAGGCCGAGACATAGAAGATGAATCCAGAGGAAAAGGAAGGAGCGAGGAGAACATTGTAAAAGAGAGTAGTAAAATAGCATGGATTGTCAAACTGAAAGGACACCGCAGTGCTCAAGCAACGCGAATTTAAAAATATTCTTTGGGGTGGGCATGGTGGCTTATGACTGTAATCCTGATATTTTGGGAGGCCAAGGTGAGAGGATCACTTGAGACCTGGAGTTTGAGACTGGCTTGGACCACATAGTAAGACCCTGTCTCTATAAAAAAAAAATAATAATAATAAAAATAGCCATATGTGGTGGTGCGTATCTGTAAGTCCTAGCTACACTGGAGAGGCTGGGGTGGGAGGATTACTTAAGCCCAGAAGGGTGAGGCTGCCGTGAGCTATGATCTTGCCACTGTACTCTAGCCTTGGTGACAGAGCATGACTTTGTCTCTAAAATCAAAACAAAACAAAACAAAGCCCCCCAGATCTTTGGCACTGATATAGATGGGTTTTTGCTCTGGTCCTTATAGGTGTCCGCAGTTCTCCAGGATTCTGCTTGTCTGCCCTCTACCCTCAAAGCAGGGTCCCCAAGCCCAGAAATAGACCCCCTGTGGAGAATGGAGGAAGGAAAAGGAGATGCACAGGACTGAACCATGCCTGATAACACTTCCACTTACCATGCTGCTCTGTGTGCCTCACTGGTTTCCATCTCTGGGTATGGGGCATTTTGGAAAGTTAGGACCCTCAGTACTGCTCTCACTTTTGTGATTCAACTTTCCTAAACGTCCTGCCAGTCATGCTGGGCTGTATCTTTCCTTTTCTCTTCAAATCAGTTGACGTTTTCTTTTCTATGATTCTTCACTTTTTCATCCACCAAGACTTTCCCTTTGCTCCTTTATGGTTGTTTGTTAGTTATGTTCTGTGTGGCTCTGCTTCAGTTAATTTTCCTATTATTTTCATGCAAGGCAGAGCAGCCTTTCGTGTCTGTTGAATCATGAATTTTGAAATCAGAAATCCAAGTGTATCTTTTAGCATCTTAATCAGTGGAGGATTAGTCAGGAAATACAGTGTGGGAGAGGTTGATTAAGGTAAGTGGACAAAGAGGTACCTTGATCTCATGCCAGACATTATAGACAGGAAACTCAGGCAGCAACACCAGTCTCCTGAGCATGAGAGAGGCTAAGATCCTCTACCCTGATTGCAAATGGCTCAGACACTGGGTGGGGCCAAGTGCATGATTGGAGACACCAAACATTTTGATTGAGTGGGGCTGGGAAAGCAGGACAATTGTTATACTCTCTAAATGCTGTTCAGTTAACCAAGCCTGATTGCCAGTAAAGGCTGGGAGTCTTGTATTTCCCACTGGATGCCAGACTGAACAGTGGCCTTCTGGCATCTCTTTTAAAAATCTATTCTGATAAAAAACACATCACATAAAATTTGCCCTCTTAAAACTTTAAGTGTACAGTACAGTATTCTTAACTATATGCACATTGTATAGCATGCAATATTTTCCTTCTGAGACTGGCTTCTTTTACTCATGGAATATCCATGTTGCTGCGTATGGCAGGATTTTCTTATTTTTTTAACTCTGTATAGAATTCCATCTTACCACACTTTCTTTACTGAGTCATCCATCAATGGACATTTAGGTTGTTTCCCCTGGCTATTATAAATAATGTTGCAATGAACATGGGAGTGCAAATATCTCCTTGAGATCTCGATTTCAGTTCTTTTGAATAAATACCCAGAAGTGGAATTGCTGGATCATACGGCAGTTCTATTTTTATTTTTTTTGTGAAATCTCCATATTGTTTTTCACAGCAGCTGCACCATTTTGCATTTCTACCAGCAATGGTTTCAGTTTCTCCACATTCTTGTGAACACTTGCTATTTTATTCTCTCTCTCTCTTTTTGCTTTTTGCTGATGGTCATCCTAACAGGTATGAGGTGATAATGTCTAATTTTGATTTGCATTTTCTTGATGCTTAGTGATGCCTGCTCCCACATGTAAGTCTTCTTTGGAAAAATGTCTATTCAAGTCCTTTGCCCATTTTTAAAATCAAGGTGTTTTGTTTGTGTTTTTTGATTTTATTTTCTTCCATTCTGTAGCTTGCCTTTTCAATCTGTTAATAGTTTCTTTGCTGCACAGAAATCTTACAGAGTAATGTAGTCCTACTTGTCTATTTTTTTTTCTGTTGCCTGTGCTTTTGGTGTCAAATTCAGTAAATCATTGCCAAGATCAATATTATTAAGCTTTCCTCCATTTTAAATTTTTTTTAGGAATTTTATGTTTCAGGTGTTACATCTTAATCCATTTTGAGTTGTTTTTCTGCATGGTGTAAAGAAGGGTCCAGTTTTAAACTTTTTCTTGTTAATAACCAGTTTTCCCAACACCATTTGTTGAATGGACTATCCTTTTACCTCTGTGTGGTCTTGGTATCTTTTCCAAAGATTCTTTGATCATATATAAATGGGTTAATCCCTGGGTTTTCTATTCTGTTCCACTGGCTTATATGTCTGTCTTTATGCTATTTTGATTATGGTAGCATTATAATATATTCTAAAGCCAGGAAATTTGAGGCCTAGAGGTTTATTCCTCTTTCTCAGAAATGTTTTGGCTATTTAAGTTCCTTTGTGGTTCCATATGAAATTTAGAATTGTTTTTCTACTTCTGCAAAAAAAATGACATTAGGATTTTGATAGGGATTGTACTGAATTTGTAGATTGCTCTGGAATAGTATAACAATTTTGGAAATACTATGTCTTTTAATCCATGAACATGAATGTCTTTCCATTTATCTGTGACTTCATTTCAGCAATGTTTTGTAGTTTTCAGTATACAAGTCTTTCACTTCCTTAAATTTATTCTCAAATATCTTATTCTTATTGATGCTATCATAAATAGAATTGTTTTCTTATTTTCTTTTTCAGAATTTTTTTGTTAGTGTTTAGAAACACAACTGGTTTGTATGTTGATTTTGTTGTGCAACTTTTCTGAATTTGTTAGTTCTAGCAGTTGTCTGTTGTGTGTGTGTGTGTGTGTTTGTGTATGTGTGGTCTTCAGGGTTTTCTACACATAGGATCACATTATCTGAGAACAGAGATAATTTTATTTCTTTCATTCTAATTGGGTTACCTTCTATTTCTTTATCTTATCTAATTGTTGTGGCTAGAACTTCCAGTATTATGTTGAACAAAAATGGTGAAACTGCACATTCTTGCCTTGTTCCTGACCTGAGAGGAAATTTTCAGTTTTTCATTTTTAAGTATGATGTTGGTTGTAGGCTTTTCCTATGTAGCCTTTATTATGTTAAGATAATCTTCTATTCTTGTTTTTTGAGTGCTTTTATCATGGTGGTTGAATTTTGTCAAAAACATTCCCTTTGAAAAGTGGCACAAGACAAGGATGCCCTCTCTCACCACTCCTATTCAACACAGTATTGGAAGTTCTGGCCAGGGCAATCAGGCAAGAGAAAGAAATAAAGGCATTCAAAAAGGAAAAGAGGAAGTCAAATTATCTCCGTTTGAAGATGATATAATTGTATATTTAGAAAACCCCATCATCTCAGCCCCAAAACTCCTTAAGCTGATAAACAACTTCAGCAAAGTCTCAGGATACAAAATCAATGTGCAAAAACCACAAGCATTCCTATACACCAATAATAGACAAACAGAGAGTCAAATCATGAGTGAACTCCCATTCACAATTGCTACAAACAGAATAAAATACCTAGGAATACAACTTACAGCATACGTGAAGGACCTCTTCAAGGAGAACTACAAACCACTGCTGAAGGAAATAAGAGAGAACACAAACAAATGGAAAAACATTCCATGCTCATGGATAGAAAGAATCAATATTGTGAAAATGGCCATACTGCACAGAGTAATTTATAGATTCAATGCTATCCCCATGAAGCTACCATTGACTTTCTTCACAGAATTAGAAAAAATTACTTTAAATTTCATATGGAACCAAAAAAGAGCCCGTATAGCCAAGACAATCCTAAGCAAAAAGGACAAAGCTGGAGGCATCATGCTACCTGATTTCAAACTATACTACAGGGCTACAGTAACGAAAACAACATGGTACTGGTACCAAAACAGGTATATAGACCAATGGACCAGAACAGAGGCCTCAGAAATAATGCCACATGTCTACAACAACCTGATTTTTGGCAAATCTGACAAGAACGAGCAATGGAGAAAGGATTCCCTATTTAATAAATGGTGTTGGGAAAACTGGCTAGTCATATGCAGAAAACTAAAACTAGACCCCTTCCTTACACCTTATACAAAAATTAACTCGAGATGGATTAAAGACTTAAGTGTAAGACCTAAAACCATAAAAACCCTAGAAGAAAACCCAGGCAATACCATTCAGGACATAGCCACGGTCAAACACTTCATGACTGAAACACCAAAAGCAATGGCAACAAAAGCCAAAACTGACAAATGGGATCTTATTAAACTAAAGAGCTTCTGCACAGCAAAAGAAACTATCATCAGAGTTAACAGGTAACCTACAGAGTGGGAGAACATTTTTGAAATCTATCCATCTGACAAAGGGCTAATATCCAGAATCTATAAGGAACTTAAACAAATTTACAAGAAAATAAAAATAACAACATCAAAAAGTGGGCAAAGGATATGAACAGACACCTCTCAAAAGAAGACATTTATGAGGCCAATAAACATAACAAAAAAAAGCTTATCATCACTGGTCATTAGAGAAATGCAAATCAAAACCACAATGAGATACCATCTCATGCCAGTTAGAATAGTGCTCATTAAAAAGTCAGGAAACAACAGATGCTGGAGAGGATGTGGAGAAATAGGAACGATTTTACACTGTTGGTGGGAGTGTAAATTAGTTCAACCATTGTGGAAGACAGAGTGGCAATTCCTCAAGGATTTAGAACTAGAAATACCATTTGACCCAGCAATCCCATTACTGGGTATATATCCAAAGGATTATAATTCATTCTACTATAAAGACACATGCACACGTATGTTTATTGCAGCACTATTCACAATAGCAAAGACTTGGAACCAACCCAAATGCCCATCAATGATAGGCTGGACAAAGAAAATATGGCACATATACACCATGGAATACTATGCAGCCATAAAAAAGGATCAGTTCATGTCCTTTGCAGGGACATAGATGAAGCTGGAAACCATCATTCTAAGCAAATTATCACAAGGACAGAAAACCAAACACCGCATGTTCTTACTCATAGGTGGGAGTTGAACAATGAGAACACATGGACACGGGGGGGGAACATCACACACAGGGGCCTGTTGGGGGTGGGGGGGCCAGGGAAGGGATAACATTAGGAGAAATACCTAATGCTAAATGACGAGTTAATGGGTACAGCACACCAACATGGCACATGCATACATATGTAACAAACCTGCATGTTGTGCACACATACCTGAAAACTTAAAGTGTAATAATAATAAAATTTAAAAAAAAAGAAAAAAAGAAAAAGCAGGCTTGAAAGATCACAAAAAAAAATTTAAAAAAATAAAAAATAAATAGAATAAATTATAAAAACTAAAAAAAAAGTAGAAAATGTGGCACATATACACCATGGAATACTATGCAGCCATAGAAAAGGATGAGTTCATGTCCTTTGGAGGGACATAAGTGAAGCTGGAAACCATCATTCTCAGCAAACTAACACAGGAACAGAAAACCAAACACCACATGTTCTCATTCATAAGTGGGAGTTGAAAAATGAGAACAGATGGACAAGGGAGTGGAACATCACACACCAGGCATGTTGGAGGGTAGGAGGCTAGGAAAGCAATAGCATTAGGAGAAATACCTAATGTAGATGATGGGTTGATGGGTGCAGCAAACCACCATGGCAAGCATATACCTATGTAACAAACCTGCACTTTCTGCACATGTATCCCAAAACTTAAAGTATATATATATATATATATATATATATATATATATATATATATATATATATCTTAGTTTCATTGAATTTTTTCCATTTATTGGATTTGAATTTCATTTCATTGAATTTTTCCATTTATATATTCTTTATTTCATTTATTTCTGTGCTAATCTTTCTTACTTCCCTCCTTCTGCTAACTTTGGGTTTAGTTTGTTCCTCATTTTCTAGTTCCTTGAGGTGTAAAGTTAGGTTGTTGGCTTGAGAGCTCCTTTTTTAATGTACATATTTACCTCTATAAACTTTCCTCTTAGTACTGTGTTTGCCTAATTTCACAAGGTTTGATATGTTGTGTTTTTGTTTTCATTTGTCTCAAGATACTTTCTAATTTCCCTTTTTTTTGACATATTGATTGTTCAAGAGTGTGTTTATTTTGTACGTATTTGTGAATTTTCCAGCTTTCCTTCTGCTATTGATTCCCAGTTTCATTCAATTGTAGTCAGAAAGGATAATTGGTATGGTTTCAGTCTTCCTAAATTTTCTAAGACTTGTTTTGTGACCCACAGAACAGTGACTTATCCAGAGTGCTGCATGTGCACTTCAGGAGAATGTGCCTTGGCTGCTGTTGGGTGAATATTCTGCATATATCTGTTAGGTTCCTTAGTCTCTCTCTTTTATTTTTTTTCTGTGAGTGAGTACAACTTTAGAGAGATTATGGGACCAATGTGGAGAATATTGAAAATAGAAGCAGGGTAAATAATATGGAGACTATCAAAACAAGAAGCTGGAGAGTACAAAATGCCTTTCATTGATGTATGTCAGTAAACTGGAACAAGGGAGTTCAAGGTGCTGAAACTTGCAGCCCTTTCCTACCTATAACCTTCTCTTATTATCTGCGATTCAAGCCTTTTATGGGGCCTCAGAACCTTTACAGCAAAACAGGCCTCTGTGTGCAGTTCAGAAGGCTGTCTCCTTTCATCTTATGGTTGAAGCAGCAGCCAAGCAAAAGTAGCTTCTTGCAAGTATCCCAAAGCTGAAATCACCTAATTTAGAAGAATAAATCCTCCTAGGCAAGCTAGAAAAATAACAAGTATGTATAGCACAAGGGGATATTTGGATTTATTTCTATATCTAAAGAGATAGTCAATGTTTTGGGCCTAAGCCTGCTTTGGGAATTTCATAGAATTCTGTTCTCTTTAGCCTAGAGATTCATTAGGGGAATTTATAAAAACTTGGGGACCTTGGCTGGATTTTGCTAGAATCTCTGCAGCATGTCAATAAAGGCCCCCTTTCTGAAACCATAGGCAAAACACTGAGGGGACCCCACAGGAGCTTCTCAAACAAAATTTCCATTTTTCAAAACTGACATTTTAGTTCCCATGATCATTAGAAGATTTGCCTCTGAAAGCTAAACAGCTTCTTCCTCTGATGTTTCTTTCCTACCAAATATACAGGCAGCAGAATGGATTTCTCTGGGGTGCTTGGGGTGGCTCACACATATATGAATGTGCACCATTTGCATTCACTTTGTGTATTTAATAATAGCTACATCATTAGTGTCTGGGTTAAACACTAATCTCTTCAAAGGCAGAGACACCAGCAGATTCTAGTGGGCTTTGGCATTTTTGTGGGCTGATTCCATGAGAGAGGTGAGAAATATAGGAGGCATTTAGCCAACAGTGACAGCCTGTGCTTAGGGGCACCCTGTCACAAGACACTTTGATGAGAGGAATCCACAGGTCTCTTGGCTCAGCTTGCACTCGGCACCTGGAGAACAGCTAACAGGAGGTGGCCTCTGAATTTTTACCAGCAGCTCTTCTTTCGTGACAAGTTTCTGAAAAGTTTTTTACCAAGGAAAGTCAACTTTGTGGGGTCAGCTTTAGATCTCCGGTGATCCATGGTGGCTGAAAGCACCTGACCAGATTTTTTGCTCCCACCGTGAGGGTCCCCTAGTCCCTCGAAGTCCCAGATTGGAAGCAGCCTCACCCAACTGCAGCCACCAGCTCTGTCTGTGCTACTCCCCCAGTGGCGCTGTCTTGGGCCCACGGTGGTGCCTTCTCTGGATTGGAACTCCTTCCTGTTTTGCCTACATGTGTCTTTTCTTATGCATGCCTGTGACTGTTCAAAATCTCAGAGAGGATAATGAGTGATAAACATGTTGGCAGAGTGTAAAATCTAGTGTTCTTCATTCTACTGTACCACCTGCCATAGCCTGGGGTGGGGTCCTGCTACAAGGGTTCCCACTGGTAGTAAGATGTCCTGGAGTACATCAGGACTGGGTCATTTCTGCGTACTCTAAAACTGCCTTTTTAGGTTTCCCTCATAGGGCCATTTTCCCCTTAATATTAAAGTGTGTCAGTTTAGCCTCTAGGAAGGCAGTGGTTGAATTACAAGTACAAGGCTATCCCTCCTCATAAGCTCGGACTCATTTAGCTTGTGTTTGTGCTTCAGTGGCCTTTATACACTATTGAACTTCATAGCAAATTCATGGAGAGTAGGGGAAAATATTTTTATCCTGTGACAATCTGATAGAATGGAATGTATTTAAATAAAATCAGCATCGGCCGGGCGCGGTGGGTGGCTCACGCCTGTAATCCCAGCACTTTGGGAGGCCGAGGTGGGCGGATCACGAGGCCAGGAGATCGAGACCATCCCGGCTAAAACGGTGAAACCCCGTCTCTACTAAAAATACAAAAAATTAGCCGGGCGTAGTGGCGGGCGCCTGTAGTCCCAGCTACTTGGGAGGCTGAGGCAGGAGAATGGCGTGAACCCGGGAGGCGGAGCTTGCAGTGAGCCGAGATCCCGCCACTGCACTCCAGCCTGGGCGACAGAGCGAGACTCCGTCTCAAAAAAAAAATAAAAATAAAAAATAAAATCAGCATCCACCTTACCTTTGGTAGGAGTGGTAATGCCACCTGGAAGGCAGGGTTGATGGGAAGCTCTCAGGCAGCATGCTCATACTCTCTGGCCTTGGCATTTGCTCACTGGGTTTCAGGGGGAGCTCATCTAGGTTCCCCAATTCTAACATTGTGTACTTTCTTATTTGAAATTCTGATAGGTTTTCAGCATTAAAACAATTCCCAGCCTTTTCTAATTTGGAAAATTCTTTCATTCATGCTACCTCAGGAATCATTATTATCTTTTTATAGGTAACTAAATTCAGAGGGGTCAGATGGCTTCCTCAAGGTCATGCTGCTAAGATATGAGAGCTGAAGTTTTTTTATTTTATGTTCACTGCTCTTTTATAACATACATTTATGGATTTGAATCTACCTGACAGAGTCTAGCTAGATTCCAAGGTAGAAATTGCACAGAGATGGTCGGATTGGAGAGTTATTTACAACTAATGGGATGTTTTTTATTTCTGACTTAAGATTGGATAGACCTTTGTCCATCCATGATGCAGGTCTTCAGAAATCAAAAACATGTTTCCACACCCTCTCATATGTACTTTCTACTGAACTGTATTTTCCTGGTTAATTATGAATTCTTTTATAAATTTAAAAACCTATTAAACAAATATTGTGTGCTTGACCCTGTGCTAGGCACCTTGGGTAAAGAAATAATAAAGGCAGGCATGGTCCCTGGTTTTTATAGAACCCGTGGTCTAGTGCAGAAGTCAAATATTGAATGGAAAGTACACAATAGCAGTGAAGAAATGAGCTTTGGTGACTTGCGACAGCAGGACTTAAGGTGGTCTGGGGATTCAATGAAGACATGCCCCAGGAAGTGTCTTTGTTGAAAACCAGGATAGGCTGCACATATACCATTGTATGGGAAAAAAGGCACTTGGGGTTTTCTTTGAGAAACTAGAGGTTCACTGTGGCCAAAGAGCAAAGAGAGCTAGGAAGAGTGACATGAGGTGAATCATTCTGAATGTAGAGAACATCTTGGCTTGTGAGGAGTCACCCAGAGTGTTCATAAGGTTTTTTGATGACTGACTCAAGACAGTAGCATCATACTAGAGTTTCCTGTGGGTGAAGAGTGTTCCCTATAGCCATGGCTAGCATTGTGTAGGATTGGCTTGAACATTGGTGTGATAGAGTTGGCCAGCTGAGGATTATCGGAGTTTACAGGCAAGGATTGCTGTGGACCATTGCTAGGGTACTGAAGGCACTGGAGTGTTCCTTGGTTTTAAATGGCCTTCAGTAAGTTCCATTCCTGCATTTGGCTTGGGGAAATGTTACTCCTTGAAAAAATACCCTAGCAAGAAGACAAATTTGCATTTTGGTCTATCCAGTTGTGATAAAAAAAAAATACATACAATTTTAGCTTTTTTGTCTTTATAGTTTCTTAGAACTTATATGTAGCAAATAAAATACCCTTAATGAAACCCAAATCTAAACTTTTCTTAGAGTTCCTATGTCTCATTACTTTATGCAAATTTTAAGTAATGCATGACCTTGAATACCTTGCAACATGGTGGCTCATAATTAGGCAACCTTCTTGGTGGATGTGATTAGGTATCTACTGCCAAAGGGAAAGGAAATATGAAAAATATTATTTGGGGTCAGAGTTGCAAGTTCTCTATTTGGTCATTTCAGCAGAAGTAGCCCAGCACTGAGAATATAGGCATTCTATGCACTGGTGATGAGTTGAGGAGATACAAAGTCAATAATTGTTGATTGATATGGCAGTGGTGTATCTCTCATGTTATGGTGTTTAGCCCCTTTCATTTGACTAGCTATGTGTAGGAACAACTAGAAAAAAAATAAAGCACACAGTTGGCCAAGGGAACTACAGTTACTATTGCCTGCCTCATTCAATCCTTACGGGCTGCTTTTCTGGATTGGTTAGATTCTAGGACATTGTATTGGGCCATAATCCCAGTGGTGGAGCTTTCAAAGAAAGTGAAGATCTGTGTGGTCTCTTGAAGTGGACCACCTGTGGACATTATTCCTTCCAATAATCAGGAGAAGACAGCCTTTCTGTTGCTGCTTCTCTTAAGGAAAGCCCAGCCATTTGTGGTTTTCTCTTTGTTGCCTCATTCTGAATGAGCTCTCTTCCAAAATAACTAATTAAAATAAGCACCTTTACTTGAGAAAGGCTAAGGCTTATGGCCGATACTCTGAGTCTCCATTGAGTCTTTTGCTTCTTGTTGGCTAATGTGTTTTTCCCTTGTTGTAGTCATGAGGCCTGTGACTCAACTATGGGCTGTGCAGTGGAATTATACTAAACAAGCCTTTCTAGATTCTGTAGGATTCTTTAGCCTAAGCAGAGAGTGTCCACTTCCCTCTGTGGCCTGCACTGAAAAGCCTGGCTCATTATGGTTAGATCTAGGCCCAAAAAATATCCAGTGTTCTTTGTGTCATTTTCTGGTCACACATTTCTCTTAGGGACCTTAAACAAGGAAAATGTACTGAGAGCAAGATTCAGGTATTCCTGGGTACCTGACCTATTTGTAACATAATCTCTCACTTAATTTAACCTAACTGCATTTACAGATACCATGCCTTGACTTTTTTTTGTATAAATTTTCTATTAAGAAATAACTACCTCCTGCTAAGTATAAAATTTATTAGATCAGAGAACAAGATCTTAAAAACCTGCTAAATATAAAATTTATTGGATCAAATGGTTGAGAGCAAGATCTTAACAACCATCAGTATAATTAGACATACTGAAGTGATTTCTCTTGACTTTGTAATTGGCTGTTTTTGTTTTGTTTTGTTTTGTTGTTGTTGTTGTTGTTGTTGTTGTTGAGACGGAGTCTTGCTCTGTCGCCCAGGCTGGAGTGCAGTGGCGCGATCTTGGCTCACTGCAATCTCTGCCTCCCAGGTTCACGCCATTCTCCTGCCTCAGCCTCCCAAGTAGCTGGGACCACAGGGGCCGCCACCACGCCTGGCTAATTTTCTGTATTTTTAGTAGAGACGGGGTTTCACCGTGTTAGCCAGGATGGTCTCGATCTCCTGAACTCATGATCCCGCCCACCTCGGCCTCCCAAAGTTCTGGGTTTACAGGCATGAGCCACCATGCCTGGCCTGTAATTGGCTGTTTTATATTGGGACATACACGCAGAATCTTTACTAGGACCACAACCCTTTTCCACAATGCACTTCCATAGCGGTGGTTATTCAGGTTGCAAAAGATTAGGATGAACTCATTGACTCTATAGAGTCTCTTAGGTGACTAGAACCAAGGTCCCATCCATAGATTTCTATTTATGTACAAACAGGTAAAATAACTCTGAGAAAGAAGAGCCACTGGGAAGGGCCAGAAGGCAGCAAAGGTCCTTGTAGGCTATTATTTGGTGGTATGTTTTCATTTCAGGTAAACAAGTTGGATTAAAAAAAAAATTAAAAAACGTATTTTACTTCCTGGGGGTGTTTGCATTATATAAGAGGAAACTAGAGACGCTGACTATTTCTGGGTGTTAACAAAGCATCTTAGGGGTATCACCTCTCAGCCCAGTTACAGGTAACCTATTTTATTGCAGTAGGGTGGAGTAAACTAGGAGGGCCCAGGACTTGGAACCCGACCTGACTTCTGATGGGGGATCTTGGGTAACAGATTCAGCCTCAGACCCTGGGAAGATGTCCAGCCAAACAGATAGGTGAGAGTGTCCAAAAGGAAAAAAAGCAGTCAAAGAAGAGTCCTGAGTGTGGTCTAAGGAACTCGCAGGGAGTCGAGACAAATGCATCACGGATGACCTCAGAATTGTTTCTATCCCAAGTGCAAGTGGACAGTAGAAAACAGAAGAGTGTTCACTAGATAGCAGTGAGCACTCAGTTAGGACCAAAAGGGAGGACTTCATCCCCTGGTAGGAAGACAGAAAGAACAAGTCCAGGATGATGCTTAGAGGACTGGATCAACAAGAAAAGAATGACGACAAATATGCAGACCAAGGGAGCAAGGTGGGGACAGAATTATGATGAACAGGCCCAAGGGGGTGAAGAAGGCAGAGTCCAGTTTTACCATGGACACTGGATTAGATTCAGTGATGGAACTGAATCCATTGAATTATGCCATCTTTTTAAGAAATATCTACTGAATATTTTCTATATGCCAGGTACTATTCTAGGCATAAGGGATACAATAGTGACCAAGACAGACATGATATCTGTCTATATGTTATCCTTATTAGATTAGTCCAATAATAAATGAAGAAAAAGATAAAGTATGTTTTAACTTCACTTATTGGTTTTTTACAATTGAGAAAACCAATTGAATATTGAAAAAACAAATAAGGAAAAGACAAAGAAGTAGTAACAACCATAAAGCCCATACTTAAAAATTCCACAAAGTAAAAAGTATAATTCTCCTGCTCCCCTCCACCCCAAATACGGTTTATCCCTTTTCAATAGTTTTTAAATAAATGTCTAAAGATGTTTCTATATACCTATGCATTGTGGTAAGCAGTTTGGCTTTATTACTTGACAATACCTTATGGACAACTTTCCAACTCTGTAAATATAAATCTGCCCCGTTATTGTAATAGTTGCCTGTTACCCATAGCATGGATGTTCCATAACATATTCAACAATTTCCTTCTTGATAGGCTCTTTATTTCCAGTTCTTATAGACAATTAATGTTGCATTTTATATCTCTTCTGTGTAAAATCCTAACTGGTTCCAGAGCATAGGCACACACCCAAAGGCTGGGTTCAAAAGTGGGAATCACATGGGAACAGAGACAGGAAGGAGGTTGGGAAAAGGCCTCTGAGAGGCACATGGAACCTTCTTTCCCATGTCATCTCACATGGACAATCGATAAATTGGACCATGATTATTGATTAAGCTCACTCTCTGGGATTGTGCCCCTGTTTCAGATATAAGAGTCCCTCATTCTGCCTGTGGTTTCTTTAAGAACCAGGGGAGTACCTTTGAGAAAGCTTGGTGGTCGTGGCAGGAGTCTTCTACCAGAGTGAAATTTCTTGGTGGGAGAGGAATATACTTCATTGAAAAGACAGAAACTGGAAGAAAAAAAGGAGAGGAAACAAAGAGATATTTTTACAAGGTTAATAAGAATAAGCTTTGAAAAAGTTTGATGTCATAACTGAAAGCACTTAGTTTTCCATTAAGCTGGAAGTTCATGAAAAATGTCTTTTTCTGGAATGTGAGAGCCAATTTCTGCTTATTTTCTTTCCAAGTTCCTTTTAAGAGAGGATAGCCTGTAGCAAAAATTAAGCTTCAGGATTCCAGAAATTGCATCCCTGTCTCAATATTCCAGTCCTTCCATTCCCCAGCAGAACACCCTCCATGGTACAACCACATGCTTGACAGATTTTTCATTTCAGATTTTGAATATGTTTTCTGAGGGAAAAAAGTACTATTTTATTGCAGAAAATGTTAGCAAGAGTGGTGCTCCAAGAATCTCTGAAAAGGCAAGATAAGCCAGTGTCATTATTTTCCTATTATAGCCTTCTCACTATCGGCTTTTTCTTTATGCTCATTGTCATTTAGGTCATCCTGATACTCTCCATACCCCCCACTGTATTTTATTATCCTCTTCTGTGACTTTTAACATTTGGCAAGCAAGAGGGTCATTCATCATCCCAGGGTGTCAGCAAGAGCATCAGTAACTGTACAAATGTTACCTGCTGGAGCGTGGTCCTTTACACATGGTTTTCATTTGTACTTTGTTATCGTTGTTGTTCAATTTGCTACTTTCTCTTCTTTACATTTCAAGCTATTGGATAGATTCCATGAAAGTCAGCCTAGAATCCCTCACTGTGTCTCACATGGAGCTATGATGAAGGAGAAATTCAGTAAATGTGGGACTTTTAAGCATGACCTTCAGAGGAATTTGAAGCAAAGAAAAAAGATGGGGACAGAACACTGGAGCATGAGACTCTACCACAGACTAGATGCGTGGGTGGGGTTGTGTGGCTCACCAGGAAGCCCACTTAGGCAGCAGCCTCATGTTCATGAAAGAGCTCAGATTTAGTCTTTGCCATCTCCAGTGTCAGGATAATTATAGAGACACATTGTACAGAATAAAGAGGATGCAACTTTTAAAGCTTATATCCTATTATGAGGCTGTATCGTCTGCAATGGATACTGAATTTTGTAAATAAAATCGTATTAGGTTGGAGCAAAAGTAATTGTGGTTTTTGCCATTGAAAGCAATGGCAAAAACTGCAATAATTCCATTTTCACCAACCTAATAATTGTCTTATGGTCAGAACAATTATATTGCATATGTGTTTGTACTTTTTTTGTTTTGTTTTGTTTTGTTTTGAGACAGTCTCGCTCTGTTGCTCAGGCTGGAGTGCAGTGGCGTGACCTCAGCTCATTGAAACCTCCGCCTCTCAGGTTCAAGTGATTCTCCCGCCTCAGCCTCCCAAGTAGCTGGGATTACAGGCGTCCGCCACCACGCCTGGCCAATTTTTTTGTATTTTTAATAGGGATGGGGTTTCACCACATTAGCCAGGCTGGTCTCGAGCTCCTGACCTCAGGTGATCTGCCTGCCTTGGCCTCTCAAAGTGTTGGGATTACAGGTGTGAGCCACTGTGTGGCCCATGTTTGTACTTTTAAAAATAGCTTTATGGTGGTATAATTGCTGTACAACACTGCACATATTTAAAGCACACAAAGTTCTTGTATGGACCTATGCTTTTATCTATTGGGTAAAATACATAGGAATGGAATCAATAGATCATATTGTAGATGAATGTTTAATTTTTAAAGAAACTGCCCAAGTTATTCCAAGTGGTTGTATCAATATCCATCACTTTGAATGATTAGTTTTCTTTTCCATTCTAATATATGTATAGTAATAAGGATATTTATATTTTTAAAGTACATTAATCATTAGCAATGATTAACATATTTTCATTTGCTTATTTGACATCCATATATCTACTTCGGTGAAATATTTTTTCAAATATTTTTCTCATTTAAAAAATATGTATTTGTTTACTATTGAGTTATAAGAGTTCTTTATATATTCTACGTAAAATCTTTTTTATCAGCTATAGGCTTTTAATATATATGTGTGCAGATATATATACACACACATATGTGTATGTATATATATGCTATACATACATATTTGTCTCTGATTTGTCTTTAACAGTATCTTCTGAATAGTAGAAGTGTTAAATTCTGATGAAGTCCAATTTATAAATTTGTTCCCAAGACCTCCCCAGATTTGGTGATTTGCTAGGAGAACTCACAGGACACAGGATGCAATTATACTCATGCCCAAAATTTATTACAGTAAAAGAATACAAAGTAAGATAAGTAAAGAGAAAGGTATGTAGCCAAAGTACAGAAGAACCAGACATAAGCTTTCAAGAGTCCATTCCCCATGAAGTCACTCAGCATGCACTTAATTCCTGCAGCATCAAATTGCGACAGGTGCAAAGTATTGCCAATGAGGGACACTCTTTAGAGACTTAGTGTTCACGATTTTATTGGAAGCTGGTCATGTGGGTGCCTTCATCCTAGCATGTACTAATAATTCCAGACTCCCAGAAGGAAAGCAGGTCTGTTCAACATAAATCATATTGTTTGTAGAAACAGTGTAGGCTCAGTGGGCTACTCTTACCAGTTGGGAATGGTGGAAAGCCTCTTGAAGTCCAAGTTCTGAGGCATCAATCATGAGCCATGCCTGCAAGCAGGCCTTTCTAAGGATAGCAGTCTAAGAAAGTCTATCCTTTCTAAGGATAGAGTCTTGCTATATTAACTCTTTTCCGTATAGTTATTTTCTAGATCATACTTTTGGTATTATATTTAAGAAATATTCTCCTAAGCCATGGTCACAGAGATTTTCTCTTATGTTTTCTTCTAGAAGTTTTATGGTTTTCATTTGTACATTTAGGTCTCTCATCTATTTTGAGTTATTTTTTATATGGCACTAGATAGGGATGGAAGTTTACCTGTTTGTGTATGAATTGCCAACTTTTTTAGTACCATTTGTTGAAAAGACTACCTCCTCTCCACTGAATTGCCTTTGCAACTTTACTGAAAATCAGTTGCCTATATATGCATGGGTATATTTCTAGACCCTCTGTTATGTTTTATTGACCTAAGTGTCTTTTACATAAATACCGTATAGTCTTCATTGCTGTAGCTTTACAGTAGGTCTTGAAATCAGGTAGTATTTTCTCTCCAAATTTGTTCTTTTTCAAATTTGGTTTAGCTTTTCTAGATCCTTTGAATTTCCATATACATTTTAGATTCAATTTATCAATTTTAATTTTAAAAACTTTGTGGTATTTTGATTAAGATGATGTTGAATTTATTAATATGAGGAGAATTTACATTCTAACAATATTTCCCTTTTGACCCATGAATATAATGTATCTCTCCATTTATTTAGTTTTCTTTTATTTCCCTCAGTGGTGTTTTATAGTTTTCACTGTACAGATCTTTCACATTATTTGTCATACTTAACTCTAAATATTTCATATTTTTGATGCAATTGTAAATGGTATTTTTAAATTTGATTTTTTGATTATTTTTCCTAGTATCTAGAAATAAAATAGATTTTTGTATATTGGTGTCCCTTTCTGTGAACTTGATAAGCTCAATTCTAGCTTTTGTAGATTCTTTCAAATTTTCTACATAGATGTTTATATTATCTGTGAATAAAGTAAAGAATATACCCCAACTTATTCGCATTCTTCAATTTGGTGTAGAACCTCGAATATAATGTTAAGTAAACATAGGTAAAATGAATGTCCTTGTCTTATTTCTGGAGTTAGCTTAACATTTACATAATACTCCATGCAAAACAGCAAAATATACAGTCTCTTCAAGAACAAAAGGAACATCTACCAAGGCAGAACATGTTCCACATTCTGCGCCATAAAAACAAGTCATGAGCTTAAAAGGATTCAAGTCACACAAATTATATTCTGTATATACAAAACGTAGACTGTATATTCTGCTGTTTTGGATGAAGTGCTATGTAAATGTTAATTAAGTTATTTGGGTCTTCAATATCTGTTTCTATTTTCTGTCTAATTATTTTATTCATTATTAAAAGGGGGTATTGAAATATCTGTCTATATTTTTAATTTTGTCTATTTTTCCTTGTAGTTCTATCAGTTATTGCTTCATGCATTTTGAAACTATTATTAGCTGCATAAATGTTTAGGATTTTTATGTCTCTTTGATAAATTTCCCTCATTATCATTATGAAATGATCATTCGTTATCTTTAGTAACATTATTTGCTCTGAAATCTTCTTTGTCTGATATTAATGTAGCCTGTGTAGCTTTTTTTTATGTTAGTGCTATCTTGTTCTATCTTTTCCCATTGCTTTTATTTTAGTTTATTTTTATTTTTTTGAGATGGAGTCTTGCTCTGTTGCCCAGGCTGGAGTGCAGTAGCACAATCTCGGCTCACTGCAACCTCTGCCTCCCGGGTTCAAGTGCTTCTCCTGCCTCAGCTTCCCGAGTAGCTGGGATTACAGGTGCACACCACCATGCTCAGCTAATTTTTGTATTTTTAGGGGAGATGGGGTTTCACCATGTTGGTCAGGCTGGTCTTGAACTCCTGACCTCATGATCCGCCCGCCTCGACCTCCCAAAGTGCTGGGATTACAGGTGTGAGCCACCGTGCTCAGCCACTTATTTGTATTTTTATATTTGAAGTGCATATTGTGAAAGCAGTATCTATTTGAGGATCCCTGCTTTATGAAATCTGACACTGCCTTTTAATTGAGGTATTTACACAATTTAAGTTTATTGCCATTATTAATATAATTATGATTTATACACACTTTCTATTTGTTTTCTATTTGCCTTAACTGTTCTTTTCTATTTTACCTCTTTTTCTGCCTTTTTTGGATTGATTCAATTTTTTAAAATAATTTTCTTTTATTTCCTTTTTTGGCTTGCTAGATATAGTGATTTGTTTTGTTACTTTAGTGGCTGTGTTAAGGTTTATGGTATATATCTTAAACTTATCACAATCTACCTTCAAATAACATTATACCACATAATGTATTGTGCAAAGAACTTTACAACAGTTATACTTCCATTTATCCCCTTGTTTTCTTTATGCTGTTGTTTTTATACATTTATTTCTATAGTTGTTTTAAGCTCCATGCTATATTATTATTTTTGTTGAAACAATGCTCCTTTAACAGCGCAAGTAATTTTAAAAACTCATATATTTACTTATTTAGTTGTGGGGTTCTTCATTCTTTTGTGTAGAGCCATATTACTGTCTGTTATTATTTTCCTTCCACCTAAAGGGCTTCCTTTAACATTTTTTGGTAGTGTAGATCTGCAAGTGATAGATTTCAGAGGCTAGATGTCTAAAAAAGCCTTTATTCTGCCTTCATTTCTGAAGAATATTGTTTATTGGGTATAAAATTTTAAATACACAGGTTTTATTTTTTCTTTTAGTACTTTAAGAGTGTTACTTTACTGTTTTCTCACTTTCATTGTTCCAATGCAGAGATGTCTGCTGCTTTAAAAAAAGTCTTTGTTTTATTGTATATAACAAGTCTTTTTTCCCCTCTGTTGGCTTTTAACATTTTATCTTTATCACTGATTTTGAGCAATATGATTATGATGTGCCTTGGGATAGCATTCTTCATGTTTCTTGTGATTGTGCTTCACTCAGCTTCTTGGATTTGTGGGTTTATAGTTTTCATCAAATTTGGATAGTTTTCAAGTACTTCTGGAAGTAGATTTTCTGGGCCCTGCTTCTTTGGGGGTTTCCATTACATATTAGGCCTCTTGAAATTATTCCACAGCTTACTGATGTTCTTTACATTAAAATGTTTTTCATATCTATATTTCATGTTGGTATGTTCTAGTGCTCTGTCTTCAACTTTACTGATCTTTTCTTCTGTAATGCCTAATCTGCTGTCAATCTCCATTCAGTGTACTTTTTATCTCAAACCTATGGATTTCATCTTTTGTAGTTTGATTTGTGTATTTTTGAAAAAATGTCCTCCATGTTTCCAATTACTTTTTTTGACATTCGGTATAGACTTATAAGATATTTGTTAAATCTAACAAAGTCAGTTTTGGGTTGGTTTCAATTGGTTTATCTTTCCGGTATGTGTTGTTTTATTTTCTGCCTCTTTACATGCCTAGTAATTTTTGGTTTGATGGCAGTCATTATGAATTTTACTTTATTGAATGCTGGATTTTAAAAAATTAATATAGATACTATTGTTTTTTTCTTCTAAAAATGATATACAGTTAAGTTACATGAAAACAGTTTGATCCTTTCAGGTCTTGCTTTTAAGATTTGTCAGGCAGGACCGGAGCAGGGCTTATCTAGGTTTTGGTATTCTCCATTGCAGATGCAAGACCTTTTTGTTTGCTTTACTCAATGTGTCCCATGGCTCTTGAGGTTTCTCAGTCTGGAAGATGGAAGCAGGAACATTTCCCAGCCCTGTGTGAAGTCCAGCATTGTTATCTCTAAACATTTGGGGTCATTTTTTTCCATCCCTGAGTACTTTTCCAGTTTTCTCCCTGAAGATCTTCAGAGTTCTATCACCATGTAGATCTCTCCTCCTCAATACTCTACTTTGAAACGTCTACTACCTTGGAGTCTCCAGACCCTTGGTTCAGTATCCTCAACTTAGGGAGAAATTGGGTTTTCCTACCTTGCATTGTGGCCTAGAAACTCTGTCAAAAAAATATGCTGCAGCAATTTTAGGGAATCTTGTTTATTTTCTGTTTATCCGAGATCACTGCCCTTCCTTTCCTGATGGCCACTGTCTTGTCAATGGTTTAATATACTGTGTCTATGTTTTTGTTGCTTCAGGTGGGAGGGTAAATCTGGTCTTAGTTCATTCATCTTCACTGGAGGCAGAAGTAATTGCATTCAGGAATGTTTGGATACTTCCAAGCCTCAGTTTGGCCTAAAGCAATGATAACAACAATTTGTAAATATTATATCCCTAAATTATTTATTAGCAGCTCCTTTTTTGAAAACAAGAAATGTATGCTTACTTACACATATTTACTAAGGGTAGAAGAGAGGGTGGACTAGCTCACAGTGAATCTATATATTTAAGAAATAATCAGAAGGAATTTAGAGAATAAAGTCAGTAGCTGGGTGATGGCAGGAGGATGCAAATGGGTTACACAATGAATTAAAATGCAAGGATAAAAGGGGAGACTGCTGCTTGGAGAATCCTTTGATTGATATATGGCATCTTCCTGATGCTCATTTTATTACAGAAGTTCCAAAGAGCCTAGGTGGTCTAATGCAATCCAATGAAATAAGGCATTCGATATTGATTGAACAACTGGGATGCCCGGAAAGGTATTAAGAACTCTGGAGTTTCACTACATTTTGACGCTTTGTCTACATCCTTTAAAATAATCTGCAATTTACTTAGCATGCTGCCTGGCCAACTTTTAAAGCAGAGTGAGGGCAATATTGTGGATGGAGAGTCTAGGCTTAAGTGGCAGGTACCACTGAGTGTAAATCATGTCTCTGGCATTTATTATCTGCATGGCAAAAGGCAAGGTGTTTTATCTCTATAATCTTAATTCCCTCTTCTGTATAATGAAGATAATAATACTTAAAATGTTGTATTAATTGATATACAATGCATTAAGTGCTTACTATGTGGCTAAGCATTATGTAGTATGTTTGTATTAATCACTATTCCACAGAGAAAGAGAACCAATGGAATGTGTATGGAATTGGCTTGCATGATTATGGAGCCTGGCAGGTTCAAAATCATGTGAGCCAATTCCATATATATTCAGCTTCATTCAGCCTGCCATAGACACTCATACAGCAAATGGAGACAACCACTAAAACAATTAGTGAGCAATATGTATGTATTGATATGTGTCATAAAGGAAATTAAATCACGGTAGAAGGATAGAGAATGACTGGGAGGGTGGAGTTCCTCTTGTCCTCTTGAATCTCGTGGTTCAGGCCACAAGAGTTCAAGAAGATAAGCTAGCAGGCTGGTGACCCAGAAAAAGCTGGAGTTGCATGTTGAAATGCAAATACAGTCAGCTGGAGGACTCCCTTTTACTTGGAGGAGGTCATCCTTTGGTTCTATTTAGGCTTTTAACTGATTGGATGAGGCCCACCCACAGTATGGAGAGCAATCGACTTTACTCAAAATCCATGTATTTAAATGTTAATCTCATCCAAAATCACCTTTATAGAAAAATCCAGAATAACATTTGACCAACTATCTGGGTACTATGGCCCAGCCAAGTTGATGCAAAAAATTAACCATCACAGTGTTTATATACATTCATTGATTTAACCCTCTCATCCATTCTGTGGGTTAGGTATTGTTTTTCCAGGTTTATATGGAAACCGAGGCCCAGGGAGATGAAATAGGTTGCACAAAACTAAAATTTGAACTCAACTTTGTCTGTTTAAAAAGCCTACGCTCTTAAGATCTTCATTAAAATGTAACACAGCATAATACCTGTAAGATAGTAGGTGCTCAGTTAAGGTTAGCTCTCAGTTCTTGCAGAGTGGAGTGCTGGTTTCAATCCCTCTCTCCATGACTAAGTTGTGAGCAACAGAACAAATAGCTCCAGGATTTTTTCGGTCTTATATTGTTAATGCTTACTAAAGTATGTGGTACACAGCAGGGACTCAGTAAATTGATGCTTGAATGTAGCTGGAAATACTGTTTTGAACCTTTTACTCTCTAAATGAAATAGTATTTTTTTTTTTCTTGAATGATGACCTTGTGCAAAGGGCCAGGAGCTGGGGAGAAAAAAAAAAAAGCCAGATCTGGCCTATATCTGCCCTTAAAATTTTAGTTTCATATTGAAAGTCAGAAATTTATTTATTCATTCAACAAGTATGCATTCATTTCCTACTCTGTGCTAGTCATTAGCTTAGAAGCTGGGAATAGTGGTGAACATCCTACATTAGTTTTCGATCACTGTTGCAACAATTTCACACAAACTTAAAACAATCTGTATTGGTCAGGGTTCTCTAGAGGGACAGAACTAATAAGATATGTGTACATATGACTGGAGTTTATTAAGGAGAGCTGACTCACATGATCACAAGGTGAAGTTCCATGATAGGTCATCTGCAAGTTGAGAAGCAAGGAAACCAATAGTGGCTCAGTCTGAGTCCCAAAACCTCAAAAGTAGGAAAGCTGACAGTGCATCCTTCACTCTGTGGCCGAAGGCCTGAGAGCCCTTGGCAAACCATTGGTGTAAGGCCAAGAGCCCAAAAGCTGAAGAACTTGGAGTCTGATGTTCGAGGGCAGGAAGCAT
The DNA here is from genome assembly GCF_000001405.40 of Homo sapiens. Taxonomy (NCBI): domain Eukaryota; kingdom Metazoa; phylum Chordata; class Mammalia; order Primates; family Hominidae; genus Homo; species Homo sapiens. The sequence goes on along the minus strand of NC_000010.11, from coordinate 83,827,492 downwards.
CCAGCATGGGAGAAAGATGAAGACCAAAATACTCAGCAAGTCAGCTTCCTCCTCCAGCTTTTTTCTAGCCGTGCTGGGAGCCAATTGATTGGTGCCCACCCACATTGAGGGTGGGTCTTCCTCTGCCTGTCTATTGACTCAAATGTTAATCTCTTCTGGCAACACCCAGAAAAACCCAGATACACCCAGAAACAATACTTTGCATCCTTCAATCCAATCAAGTTGATGCTTAATCATCACACAATACAATTTTGTTGTTTCACAGTTTGGGGCAGAAGTGTGAAATCAGTTGTGCAGGGTCAGATCAAGATTTGGCAGCACTGGTTCCTTCGGGAGGTTCCAGAGAAATCTGTTCTTTGTCTCCTCCAGATTCTAAAGGTCACCTGCATTCCTTGGCTTGTGGTCCCACTCACAGCACAAGACCCTTAACTTAGTCACACCTGTGAAGCCCTTTGCCATGCAATGTAATACATTTGCAGGCGCCGAGGATTAAGGCATGGGCATCTTAGGGGGCAGGAGCTTTATTCAGCCTACCATAGATCCTCATACAGCAAATGAAGACAGCCACTAAGGCAATTAGTGAGCAATATGATAGTATGTATTGATATGTGTCATAAAGGAAAATAAATCATGGTAGAGGGATAAAAAATGACTGGGAGGGAGGAGCTCCTCTTTTGACAAACCTCTCAAGGTTTGTCAGGGAAGGCCTGTCTGGTCAGGTGACATTGAGCTGAGGCATAAATGAAGTGAGTGAGGGCCTGGGACTGGTGTGTCTTCTGAGGGGAGTGAGGGCTAAGGGTCGGGTACACAGAGAGCTGTGATGACAAGCGTTGAGACTCAGCTGCAGGCAGTGGGAAATTGCAGAAAGGATGCACAAATCCAGGTGGAAGAGGTCAAAAGGTGGTTTATAGAGGAGGTGGCATTTGAAAAACTCCAAAAGCTGAAGCATGGTCTAGGCTTGTAAAGAACAACAGTGTGCATGTTGACCCCCGTGGTTCAGGCCACAAGAGTTCAAGAAGCACACTCTGGGACTGCAGAGGTGAAGAAACCTGAAGGGAGAGGGTGTGGCTCTGGCTAAGACCCTGAAGTGTGTGTTTTCCTTCTCACAGGATAGCTGTCAGGCCCATTCTTCCAATTCTGTATGACCAGGGGAGGCAAAGAGGCTCCAAGCAAAGCAGATCTTGGGAAGTTTTTTAGGACCTTCCAGATATGCTCTTGTTTCCAGACTTCCCTCTCTTCAAGTTCTGCATGGAAGGGCTCTGGTTACCTGGTTCCTGGGTTCAGTTTTCTATCATAATGGGTCTCTCTCTTTAGTTGGCCCTGGCCTTGATTCTGCTCCTGACTTTGGCAGTTCCACCCAAATTCCAGATTTGCAGAACCCATGTAAACCTTGATGCTTTGTCCACTAAACAGCACAGTTCTAACACCATCAGGCCTGGCCTTTGACTTGGAGAAAATAGATCCCTAGCTTGACACAGAATATACAACAAAACACATTTAGTTTCTTATTTTCTATGATGCCTTATAGTTGATCCCCATCACTAGTAAGAGGGTCCCAGGAGACTGAGTCTCCTTGAACCATGCCAGGTTCTCAAGCTTCCTCAACCTAGGACTTCATTATCCACTAAGAATTCTCGCTTACTCATTCCTTTATTCTCTCAACAGTTTTCAGAGTCAGTATAGCATGATAATTGGGCTCTAAAGTCAGAGCTTCTGGGCTAAAATCTCAGCTGTGTCACCAGCTGTGCGACCTGCAAGAGAAGTTACTTATCTCTCTGTCTCAGTTTCCTTATGCTTAAAATGGTATAGCACCTTTTTTTAAGAAGGAGGCACAAAAAGTTAATCTATATAAACTCTTAGGACAGTGCTGGGCATGTAGAAAACCTTACTATTTTGGTGGTGGTGGTTGTCTGGTTGTCCTTATTGTTCTTTTGTGGGTAGCATGAAGGGAAAGAGTTCATGCTAGGGTGAGAGTCAGGTCTCTGTGCCAGCCCCACTTTGCTTCCCAGGCTCCTCACTGTTTGGTGGACAGACCTTTCCTTTCCCACAGCACCCCTCCTTCTCTGCATCTTGGTGACCCTCAGCACCCAGGGCATTCTTGAGTGAGACAAGAAGTCTGAAGCCACTTCAGTTCTGACTGTTGGGATGCCTTGGCAAAGTTGCCCTCCAAGACCCAAGACACAGGGCCTCCATGAAAACTCTACTTTTTCTTTGTCACTGATTAGTCCTGGGACCTTATTCCCTCTAGGGCGTCCACCCTGTCTTCTCTTCTATATATGCCCAGTTTTTAGGTTTGACTCCAGTCTCAGCCTATTTGTTCATGTCTGATCATTTAGCCAATGTGATTCTTGGAGCCCCTGGCATTGAAGGGTACTCCAAATATTTTCCAGTGGGTGAGACCTCATCATAGTGTACCAGCTTCTTACCTGCAGCTAGGAACATTGCCCTGCCAAGATGCCCTGGTACGGGGCTTCATGTTTATGACGACATTCCTGGCTCCAGTCAGTTAATCTGCTTACTACTAAGACAACTACGCACAGGGTCTATCTTAATTCTGGGTACTCCGGAAATTGATCAAGCATATGCTAAGCGCAAAGGAGGGTGCCAACCCTGCCAGAAAAGAGGAAACAGCTCAGTCACAATCATTTTACCCATAATTTTGCAATTAAAATGTCTACAGAAAAGCTATTTTAGCTCAGCCTTTATACACATTTAATGTCATTTTGAAAATAAAATTCGTTGACTTGCTTATGGGGAGGGGTGGCTTATAACCTTTCATTTGCTCAAGTCCTTATTATAGACCTCATCTCTTCCATCTGGCCTCAGCTTGGAGCCAACTGACCTCCTCCAGTGTCCATCCTGCCTGGGTGGGCTGGCCACATGTCAGGAACCAGCTCTCCTTGTCTCTCCCCTCCATGCCCTAGCACATAGTTCTGTTACAAATTGCCTCCTGCCTGGGTCTCCAGTTTTGTTATTTACTTTTTTTTTTTCCTATTTTTCCCAGGCTGCAATTAACATCTGGAAAGGCAAAGATCCCTATGAGTAAAGCATTGAACCATCACCTAGAAATATACCCAGCTGTTTTTATGGTGGAGTTTAAGAGCATTTAGCTAATTACAGTCCTTAGGAAGAGAAAGCATCCTAATGGAAGCAGCAAGCTCTTTTCTGCCTTGCTGTGGGAGCTAGTCACCAACAGATAAATAGGAGTTATGTCACGCCCTCCTGTTTATGCCCTTACAGAGGAGGGCATCGTAAAGTGCCTCCTCCGCAGGCATAATGCTATGATGTGTATTTTGACAAAGATGCTTTTTCAGGGCCATGAAAGTAAAAGTGCCATAAACTCAGAAGGAAACAGAGTATAAATTGAATCAGAATGAGTCCTAGCCCAGCTTCACCACTGCACGTTGGCTGAAAACGCCTGACTTCCCTGTCACCTCCAGCTGTTTCCATGGCTGGACCTGTAGGAGCCTGAGGTCAGGGCAATCAGCTGAGCAGGGGTAGCCTGGAGAGCCTGGGGAAGGAAGGGAGGGAGGGAGACAGGCTTGTACTAGTGGCGAGCATGCATAGGATCCTCAAAGGCAGTGTGTGCATGTGTACACGTGCCTGTGGCATGTATGTGTACCCATGCATGCGCGTCTCTGTGTGGTGGTAACGTGTTGATGGTTGGCCAGGAGGTGGTTCAGGGTTCTTGGCTCTTGCTTTCTAAAATGTGGCGGCTCACTCCTTTTATGAGGCATTGCTGAGAGCAGGTTTGCCCTCATTAATCAAAGCAATAGCAATAAGCAGGCAATTAAGTTCTCCCAAGGATGCATGTTCGAGTTCTTGGCTCCAGCAAAGCTGTGGTAGTTGGTAGAGTTAATGGCAAGGAGCTCGGGCCTGGTGTTCAGGTCAAGGCTCATTTTCAGGTTCAGCGAGATAATGACAGGCCCAGAAAGGTCCAGTTTTGTCAGCTTAGAGAGGTTACCCTCAGGCCTACTAGATGGTGAGCTCAGCATCCTAAGGACAATGATTTTTTAATCTCCCTGACATGAAAGTTTTTCGGAGTAGCTGCTGCTGGCTGAGCCTTCTGCTAAAGAGCACTCATTAGGTAACTCCTCCTCACCATGCAGGCTGAGGAGAGGCTCCTTTCCTGGATTACAGCTCAGGCCTTCTATCCTAAGAATGAGCACCCAAACAGTATCAATGAACTAAAACCAAGACTTAAAAAATACTGTTGGATTGATGAATTTTGGCATCTAAATAGCCAACTCCAAACCTGCCTATTATCAAGATCAGTGTAACAGTCTCCTATGGGAATGGGGGTTTCCTTTAAGTTCTCTATTGCCCACCTCTAAATCACTGTGCTGTTAAGCCACCTTCTTAAACCCCAGCCTCACCACATTATGCCTCTGCTCAGGAGCCTCATGGCTTCCTATGTCCTCCTGCAAAAAGCCCAGCTCCCATGTTCTGTTTGCCCATCCAGCTTGCATCCCAGCAGCCGGCCTCCATCCTGCCTCGCCTAGTCTCTGGGGCTCTCACAGACGCTCTGTGTGACTCTTTCCTTCCTTTTTGCCTTGTTTCCTCCTGTTCTGCTCATCTTTACGATTTTCTGCCTTTTCTTTCCATGAAACAAATCCTGTTGACCCCTTGACGGTGGTTGTGGATCCTGCCTCCTTCAGGAAGGTTTCCCAGGGCCATCCCTGGCTGCACCATGCACCTGTTCACTGAACTCCTCTTAGGCCTGTTATATTAGCTTGAGGAGTTTCAGTTATTTCTCGTATGTCCAATATCAAGTTTTTTTTGTTGTTGTTTTTGTTTTTGTTTTTTATTTTTAGCCAGCTTCATTGGAAGTGCCTGGAGGGTAGAGATCAAGCTTTCAATTGCTCATTGGAACACTTTAGAATATGGCAGAGGCACCAGACATGGATGCAGAAAACCAGAAGTCCTGATTCTGCCACCTCCTACCTGTGGGAATTTGGGAAAATCGCTTCTCATATCTGCTGGTTTCCTACCACAAATGTAAGAATCCTGCCTAGGTAGAAACTGCCTGTTCCTGTGTCATGTGCTTCTCTGCAGTGCACAATTCTCTCAGCTCAGGCCCAGGGCTAATCATTGGCCCTGCCTTTTTCTTCTCTAACAACAATAATTTTTTTTGAGATAGAGTCTCTCTCTGTCACCCAGGCAGGAGTGCAGTGGCACGATCTCAGCTCATTGTAACCTCTGCCTCCTGGGTTCAAGCAATTCTCCTGCCTCAGCCTCCCAAGTAGCTGGGATTGCAGGCATCCGCCACCAAGCCTGGCTATTTTTTTGGTATTTTTAGTAGAGACGGGGGTTTCATCATCTTGGCCAGGCTGGTCTTGAACTCCTGATCTCATGATCCACCTGCCTCAGCCTCCCAAAGTGCTGGGATTACAGGCGTAAGCCACTGCACCAGGCTACAGTAATCTTTAGGACAATAATAAGTGTTCAACTCTTCCCTTCTGGGTACATAGTTAGGATTGTACTTCCTTGCTCATTAGGTGTGATTATGTGATTATTATTTGGTTAATGACCTGTGAGCATGGCTGACACCTGTCACTCTCAATGGGAGCATTAATAGCTAGAGCATGCAACAACATGTTCTCCTTTCTCATGGTAATGGTGAAATGCATTGTCATAAACAGTGGCTGTGCCTTCAGTCTGTATCCCTGAATGCAGATGTTGATAATGCAAACAGAGCCAAAATCCTATATCCAGGAAGGTCAATGTAGTGTGAGTCAGAAATGGACATTTACTGTTTTAAGCCATTGGGATTGTGTGTGTGCGTGTGTGTATGTGTGTGTGTATGTGTGTGTGTGTGTGTGCATGTTTAATCAGCGCAGCATAACTTAACCTGTCCTGTGTGATACACTGTCTTCCTTAGTCTTTGCCCTATTTCTTCCTTTCTTCCTGACGTCCCTCACCCACAAGGAGTAATCTGCACCTGGGCAACAAGCCCGCTATAAGCAATGGCAAAAGCATAAGACACTATTGATGGGTGAATTCCTGATACTCTTCGACAGCAATGTCTTCATTGATTTTACAACAACAGGATTCTCTCTGCTCTTCTAAAAGACATGCCTGGAGACTTCAAAGAGTATTTTTGTCCAAACTAAGCCTGGGTTTTGATTTTGTAGTTGATGAGTCATTACTTCCCCAACACAGGGTGGGCTTTGATTTTGCAGGTCATATTTCCCCAACATATTCTTCTGATGTCCAAATCAAAGTGCTCCAGAAATATGTAGAATATTTATTGTTATAAAAAATCCATAGTAGATTTGAATTGATAAGATCTCCTATAGGCCTTTGTGATTTTTTAAAAAATATATGCTACCTTATGAATCTTGTCTAAGTTATTAAAACCTCCAAACATCCCTTGTCAAATCAGGAACTAGGAGGGTATATTAGTCATTCTCATGCTGCTAATAAGGACATACCTGAGACTGGATAATTTATAAAGGAAAGAGGTTTAGTGAACTCACATTTCCAGATGGCTGGGGGGGCCTCACAATCATGATGGAAGGCAAAGGAGGAGGAAAGGCACATCTTACATGGTGGCAGGCAAGAGAGCTTGTGTAGAGGAGCTCCCCTTTATAAAACCATCAGACCTTGTGAGACTTATTCACTATGAAGAGAAAAGCATGGGAAAGACCCACCCCTAATGTCATGATTCAATTATCTCCCGCCTGGTCCCTCCCATGACATGTGGGAATTATGGAAGCTACAACTCAAGATGAGATTTGGGTAGGGACACAGCCAAACCATAACAGAGGGTGAGTTTTTTCCTGAAACATAGAGCAGACAATGCTGATTTTGTTTTATCTATCATACTTTGTTGAGACATGGGAATGAAGACTTCCTCAGGATCTCTGATGTGGGCATCTGAGAGACCTATAGAAAGCTAAGTGTTCTCATGACATCAACTCACATTTCATATATTCTTACCTTTCTCAGCCTCTTAATACACCTGCCCAACTATGTCAGATTTAAGAATCTCTAAGAGGTATTCCAAAAAGAAAATGGAGGAAGAAAAAATGATTTTGCATCTAGGCTGGAAAGAACAATACTGTACAAGTTTGTTCTTCCTTCGTGGCTAGCCCAGACTTTTCTTTAATTAACAGACTTGGCTCATGCCGTGTTGTTATCTAATAATGTGCTTGAGCAATAAGAACAGTTGTTTTTCTCACTATATGACAAGGCCCAGATGTGCTCACATCAAGAGTAAGTGTGGGATCCAAATCCCAAGACAAGGCTAATGGTTTAGTTAAGAATCTAGCAAACAAGGCAGGAACAAAGGAAGGAAATTTCAGTGTTCCCAACTGCTTTGTTTGTTTGGAGATTGGCCAGGAGACTAAAAGGATGCAAGGAACGTGGACTAACTTCTATTTCTAGAAGGTCAGGCTTAGAGCATCCAATGTGAAGGATGGTGCAGTTGTTTCTAGAAAAGGATTCTGGGCAAATGTGGTTTTTGAAATATTTTCTACAGGAAACAAAATGCCACAGAATGAGAAATTTTTGGTGAACTGGTTCATTTTGTAGCAGCAGTTGGATGATGGAAATTACCCACCCTGTTCTCAATTTGGATGTTGGATATGAAAATTAAAGTTGCATTTTTTTTTCTTTTACCGAAAGAATCCCTGGAGACAGTGAAGCAATTTATAGATGTGAGAGTTTAAATAGCCATGACCTCAGAGAATTATAGCAATGTTGACACATTGACAGACACCTTTTCTCTCAGACTCAGCAAGGAAGAACACACTAAATACAGAGACTATTCAGTTTTATGGAAAATCATACTGTATGAATACTGAGAAGTGTAACTAGCTTTGACAGACTAGAAATTTTTTCAAAATATATTGCTTTCTAACGAAATGATTAAAGAAAAACTAAGGAGGTGAGACAAAGTGAATGATCCTCCATCTTTCAAAGTGATAAAGCAGCCTGGGTGACTTAATACACGTTTATATAGGGTGGAGTTGGGAAAGAACTGGAATTGGGTCCAGGGGGCATTGGGCTGAATCCTAGTTCTGCCACCTTCAGCTGTGTCACATTAGGCAGATAACTCAACTCTGAGCCCCAGTTTCTGGATCCGCGAAGCTACTACAGAAGCTTGTTTTGGCAAATGAATAATTTATTTGACCATGGTGTGCATTTGTAAAGTACATCAGAAATATACTATATTGTGAGTATAATTGTTATTTTTGTTGCTCTTAACTTCCTACCTCTGATGGGTGTGCAATCAGTTCCTGAATGAATCCAATCTAAGGTGAATCTTCCTCTAAAGGAGAGATGTATGTGGTTTGTGTACACAGATTAGATAAATGGGTTGTTCTCCTCTTCTTATGTTACAGATGACCAAGAAAGACTCAGGAACACAGTTAACTAGCCCTAAGATCAACTAATCTCTGGGCAGTATTACAAAAGGCATTAATACCCCAGCAGACAGCCCTTTCCCCACAGCTCTGTGTGCACCACTGTTTTTCGTATCTAAAAAAAGATAGCAGATAATGTGGAAAAAGCTGGTGGGGGTTGGAGGAGAGAAGGGAAGAAGGGAAGAGAGAGAGAGAGAGAGACAGAGAGAGACAGGGAGAGAGAGAGAGAGAGAGACAGAGAGAGAGACTACAAGGACCAGAGATATGAAGTTGCTTGGCTGGCATGAAAAGTCAAACCACAGTCTGGGGTGGGTCAGATGGGTCAGCTTGTGTGTGTGTGATTAAAGTCTGCAAAAGCATATGAATAGTGTGAATATGGATTGTTTGCCCACATCCATATAGCTCCATTTATTTGATATGTGAATATAGGGGTAATTTTAGAGCCTGAGAAACTTTAGAACAAATCTTCAAAATATGTGCACCCACAAAGGATAGTGAATTTTCTGGTTCAGAGCTGCTTCAACCTCTCTTATCTGCTAATTGATTTTCTTGCCACTTATTTCTTGCCATTCAATCTACCCTTCATACTATGGCCCCAGATATACCTCCCAAATGTAAATCCGATCATGACAACTTCAAGTTTTCCTTTCGTGTAGGTTTACAAAAATCATATATGTAGCTTTCTCAAATTATTTACAAAGGGGTAGTGGCAGGAGGAACTGAAGACAAATATTTTTATCTTTTCTGCATTGTAGAAATAAGACCATATCAACACTTTATTCTAACCACAAACATAACCAATGAGGCATCCTGAAATCTGATTACCCACAGTGGTCCTTGGAACAAAGAGCAGTGGAAGAAAACATTGAGTTTCTTCTAGAGTTCAGTTCTTGCCTACATTTTCTTCTTTCTTTTATTAACTTAATGGGTCTCAGAGCTAACTCTGTGGGCATCTTCAGGGTAAAGCTACTCGCTTTAGAGAAAGAGATGAATATTAGAAAAATCCAGTTATCTCTGCCAAACTTGTCCCCGCCGCTCTGTTACCTTCAACTTGGGAGGGAGAATTGGGTGGTCCAGGTTTTCAAGTTAGTGGTCTCTTTTCAAGTTAGATTCAGCCTTCTCATGTAAACAAACTTCCCAGAGAGTTAAACAATGGGCACCAGATGATAGCATCATCCAGATAATAAACTCTCAGCTATGTGGCATGCCTGGAATTCACTGTGCCACTTTAAACATAATTTGAGCCCCTCCAACCCAGGTGAGCCCTCCATTCATGTAAAAGCAATTTATTTTTCCCAGAGAAATGAAAACTCAACCAAATAAATTATATCTCTGCAGAGAAAAAACTTTCTTAAACTGCATAGAAAGTATCTTCTGTCTTCATGTCTTATCATAAATTGCTGATGTTCCAACCAGGTTTTTGGTGACAGCTATTGTGAACTCTGCCGTGTGATTATTTCCCCAGCTTTTGGCTTTCCTCAGCAATCATGTTCTAGAAGCTCTGAGTAATTTTTTTACTCCAGTGCAGCCAAAATGCCCTATCAGTTATATTCATGACAATGCTTTCTCCCTCTGGGTCCTCTTTTCATTCTCCTCTGTTAAGAGTCTTCTTTCAAGCAGGTATAGCCCACAATTCCAGCCTTCTGCCTAGATTGACTGGAAAAGATTAACTTTTCCCACCTATGCTGTATATAGGGCTAGCATGTATATTTGCTGGGTTGGAAGGTCTTTTCTCTTTTTCATGGGTCTTCTATATAAAGTAAAACCTGTCTCTTTAAATTATTTATTTTCCTTCCTAAGTTTCTGATACCTCAGTTCCAAAGCCCAAGAAATGGTTTCCTGTTCACTTACTAAATCTTGAACACTGAGATTTTTTGGCCGCTCTGAACAATTTCACACGTTTCTGTTTGTTACCAATTTCTTCTTTCACACTGTGGTTGAACCTGCACTTTCAATCTCCAGAGCCCACAGCCATCATTCAATGTTTGCCTACTATTCACTGAGTCAACATGAGAACACATGGTGTAGAAGTCCTCAGTGAGACTATGTCAGGCTACAGAAATTGCTAGGTCAGTCCTGCCTCAGTTCTTTCTCTGAACCTGAATGCCAGCACTTGAAAAAGAAAAAGTTAAAAAAAAAACAGGAGGCAGCAAATTCATTCATTCCTCTCTGCCAAGTCTAGCAGGTAGAAAACCCAAAGCCAGAAACTCCTATGCAATTGGAATTTGTTATTTTGAGATGGAAAGGTGGAAGATAAATTTCAGAGCAATTGTTCCTTAATCGCTTTTAAGGGATTGGGAGAACTTATAAGAAAAACACTCTGGAGAAGTTGTAGGTGTTGTAATTTTGATGTGGAAGACTGGAACTCTTGGGATCACATACAGATTTTTAAGTGGACAGTCATGGCCAGTGAATGCTGGGGTGCTGTTGAATGACTCAGATTACTGTATCCTGGACCTTCCTGACTGACAGTGACCCATCTGAAGAATATGACTTTTCAAAATAGTTTGTTTCTTAGGGCTCCCTCCTGAGTAACTTAGGAAATCTCAAGAGCACAGCTGAACATAGACACTCACACATGTATCTGCTGCATGCCACAGTGAACTGCCATTGCAGGTGCAGCTGAATGGACCAACATTTCCAGAAGCAAGATCACCTGGACACAGCCACACATAACTGTAGAGTTCAGGCTCTGCAAAGTGTTTTTGCCTAGTAGTCTTGGGGGCTGTGAAGTGACAAGATATTAAAAATTGTGTGCAATAAAGTTGGCCATCCCTAGTATAAATTAAATTTAGTATTTATCGGCTGTTCCTGGCTGTAAATTAATTCAACTACTGGCATTTTAGAGAAGAATGGACACAGAAGAAGATATATCTCAATATGAAATTTCCTTGTTAAGAAATGGGCCCTACCTTCAAGCTGGAGATATCAGTCTTTTCCAAATAGAGGAGGTTTGAGGCAGAGTTAAATAAATACTGGCCACTAGAATGCTAATTTAAAAACTCCATTATTAATTGTGTCATCTCAGTATGAGCCAAGAGTCAAATGAATTGAAGCAATAAAATGATTGGCTTTATGATTACTTGGTGTTCTTTCTTCTAACCCTAGAAAAATCAAAACCTTCCTGGCCCAGCCAGTACTTGGTCTAGACACTAGCTCCTAAAAAATGGGTTCTGTAATGCCTGGCTTCTCAAGACCTGGAAATTTTGAACCAGGCCAAGGTAAAACATCATGGCCAGACCTGATTTGAGGAAAACTAGGTATTATACAAGCTAGGCATTATACCAGGTATTATACAAGCAACTAGACATTATACAATTTAAAAAAACACAGGTGTTTTGAGGAGTAAGAAGTATGTTGAGTGATTCTGAGGAGTTGAGTGAAAATGTGGGTTAGCAATGTCAATACAATGGAGCCACATGAAGTTTGTTGGTGCTCTTCACAAGAGCATTTTTGTTTAAATGGTGACGGCAGAAACCAACATGATAGGAGAAAAAGTGTCAACAGGAGGTGAGTAACTAAAGATAGTATATCTCAGTAAAAATAAAGGAGAATTATTTTTAACTTCAAAATAGAAAATAACAATAAAGTGTGTATATTGATGAAAATAATGCAGGTGAGAAGGAGAGACTGGCAATGCAAGAGAGAATAGGTAGGAGAAAATTCCTAAGAAAGAGGTAAAATAATCCAGGGGACAGGTAAAGAAATTGGTATTTAATAGGAATTAGGAAATTTGATCATTTGCTTTTAGGATTGAAGAAGATGAGTTCAAATGGATTTATACATTTGGCATAGGGAATTTGAGGGCATTTGAGCACCTGGCTCATTGTTAAAAAATGATTTTTGAAGAGAGCATTTGTTAAGGGTGAGGAGAGAAGTGAGAGGCAGGAGGTGGTTAGGAGAGATAGAAGGTATGAAATGGTTACTTTGGACAACAGGAAAACAAGCCTAGTCAAGAAACTTGGCAGAGTCACTAAGCAGTACTGAGAGCCAATCTAAGGTTTGTGTCCATGAATTTAAGAGGATTTTGGTGAGGCCAACTAAAAGACTTCCTCTAGCAAGGATCAGATAAAGCTTTGGGACTAGGTAGGTTATCTGAATGGGGAGAGAAAAGGAAGAATGCTTTGAGAAGCAATTAGTAGGGAGGTGAGATTCCTGAGAGAAGAGGAGAGGTTCTCAGGGAACTGGTTGTGCAGTGCACCAACGGAGGTGCTCCCAGGGATCTGTGGGCCCTAGCATGCACCAAGGCAGCAGTTTCTGGAACTAGAAAGAACTAACCACGTGAGCTTGGGCAATGAGCATCTCAACGCTAAGCTGTGTGCACAGGGGGTGAACAATCAGACAAGCTTCCAATACTCCCTGTGCTGTGTAATTGCCTTAATATTTGGTATAATTCAATGCTGAGGATTTCCTGAGAATTTCTGAAGTAAAAGTTCTTATTTGCCTGAGAAAGTAAAAGTGGATAGAGGCTAAATTAATTTGATTTCATTCAAACAAGGAAATCTAAAAAAAAATTGGGCATCTCTCTTTGTGGATTTTGAGTCCTACATTGTCCTCTATAATTAAAAAGTCAATTGTACTGATAGGTTATAACAAAGGACCAAGTTTCCACTGGGTGGTCAAAGAAGGTCTTTCTGAAAGAGTGACATTTAAACTAAGAATTGAAGAATGCATAGAAGTCAAGCAGAGAAAAAGGGGAAGAGTGAAAATCTCTAGGACAGGAAATAACTTGATGTCTTTTATGGTCAGTGTGGGTGGTACATAATGGACAGGTGGAAATGTGTTCTGATATGAAGGAGGAGGTGTGAATAGGGGTCAGATTATGCAGAACTCTATAATGAGAAGCATAGACTAGATCTAAAATGATCTCTGGCAGATTCATGAAAAATGATTTGAACAGAGGCTAGAAATAGGGTACCCATTTAGAAGATTGCTAGTACAATAGTACAGTGGAGAAATAATAGCAGCTTGCAGAAATGATGTGGTGAAACAAAGAACTCAGTAAATTCAAGACCTATCCTGACAATGGAATTGACAGCACTGAATTGAGAAAGAAGTTATCAAGTTTGACTCCTAGGTTTCTAGCATGGGCTAATAGATCCAGAAAAGATCTATGAACAATGATGAGAACCTCTACAAGAGAAACAGATTTCGTGTGTGTGTGTGTGTGTGTGTGTGTGTGTGTGTGATGGTGTGGAAGTTAACAGTGCAGTCCTGGACTTTTAAGTTTGAGAAGCCAGTGAAACATCCAAATGGAGCTGTCATATATGCAGTTGGCTCAGTGATTCTGGAGCACAAGGGAGAGGTCTGAGTTGATGATGTGCATTTGTGAAGTATTAACCTAGAGATGCTGTTTTCAGCTGAAAGAATAGATGAAGCTTGCTAGAGATAGAATGTATGAGAAGAGAAGACCCAGGATTGAGCCCACAGAACTCCAGTATTTGAAGACTGATAGATGAGGAGTCAGAAAAGGAGATGAAACAGGAGAAGCTAGATAAACCGTAAACAAGAGGATTAATGTCAGAGAAGCTAAGGGAAGAGAGTAGTTCAAAAGGGGACTATTTTGCCATTATAGCATGAAAGCAGTCGTAGATAAAATGTAAATGAATTAATATGGCTGTATTCCAATGAAATTATATTTACAAAACATGATAGGCTGTAGTTTCCAATCCCTGATGTAATATACAGTCATCCCTTGATATACATGGGGGATTGGTTCCAGGACCACCTGCCTGTAGCCAAATCTGCACATACTCAAGTCCCATAGCCACCTTGCAGAGCCCACCTATAAGAAAAGCCACCCTTCCAATATGCAGGTTTTGAATCCCTAGAATACTGTATTCTCAATCCACATTTGGTTGAAAGAAAGCTACGTATAAGTGGATCACTTGCAGTTCAAATCTATGTTGTTCAAGGATCAACTGTACTACTGAAAAGTACTGTAATGTGAGAATTGTAAATAATTCATTTGATTTAGCTGCAGTAGGATTATTGTTGTCCTTTACTAAGATTATTTTCAATTAATTGGTGGTTGCAAAAGCCTTATTGGTGTCTACTGAAGAGAAAATAAGAGGTTAGGAAGTGGAAGCAGTTTACAACTGGCCCTCACAATTACCGCTGGAGCAAGAATGAGGTATGAGCTAGGGAAAAGTTTTGTTTTGTCTGCTTTTTAATAAACTAGAGTGAGTAGCAAGATCCAGAAGATTGGGGTAGAAAGTCCCCTGAGAAAAAGAATTTTGAAGAGAAATAGAGTAGTATGGAGAATTTGGGTTTTTGATACTTCTTCCTTTGTAACAGCAGAAAAGGATAGAGTGACTACAAGTGTAGCGAGTATGTTAGTTTGAGGAGAAAAGGGGGTATTTGCTTCAGACAACTTGTATTTGTCTTTATGAAGGATTATAAGAAGTTTACTGTCAGTGGGGAGTGGGTAAGAGGGAAAAAGAAAAAAAGAAATCAGAGATTTGAGAAGTGATTCCGTGTATACCTTAGTGTTCCTAATTATGCTTTCATTTTTGGTCATTTAAAATGTTCCTTTTTTCTGCTATCAAAAAAAAGATATACTGAACATCTTTTTGCCATAAAATAATTCTATTTATAGCCATGTCCTTAGGATAGATTCTCAGAATCAAAGAAACATTTCTACTTTTGTTCTTTGTTTCTTCAAAGATATATATATTTTAAAACTAATACACTCACTTGCTAAAACTGAATTAGTAGAGAAAAACTTATAATGATGTCCTGGCTGAGAATGCTGCACCTTACTAGATACCTAATTCATTGTAAATTACTAAATTGGAATTAGAAAAAATCCCTTTCCTTTTCTAAAATTGAGCTACCAGCACCCTCAGTGGATTACATGAAGTGTGTGTAGCTGTGCACAGAATGGAGTTTAGGACATGAACTTCAGAGGCTTAATGTTAGCTCAGTCTGAAAGAACCCAAAGCATAAACAGCAATCCCATCTAATTAATCCTCCTTACTTGGATTTTGATGAAGTTTGGATGCATTCCTTAGATCTTTGGGGACTGTCTTCACTAATATCATTTAAAAAGCTGTCAGTAAGAAAATTAGAAGGCAGGATTCAGTGACTAATTCTATAAATAATTAGTATTTTCATTTTCCAGAGGAAATTAATAAATCTAAAAAAATTTACCTTTTTTTTTGCAGGCTGAAGCATTCAATCAAGCTTGATGCTTTAATTCAATCTACGTGTTCATTCTTTAATGAGAAAAGCAGATTTTGTATTTTTTCCCTGCCAAGTTAAATTCATTAAGTCCTTTACTCATTCACAGAGCCAGCACTGAGTGAACATCTACCCTGTACTGGGCCCTGCATTTGCCATGGTGGAAATAAAGATGGGTAAAAGTTGTCTTCCCTTTAAGATGGCCATGTTTTATGGATAAGAGAGGTACACAAAAAGAAATTTATTTCAGAGTAGTATGGCTAGTACAGTGCTAGAAATATGCACAAAGCATCATGGAAGCCTCAAGGAACGGGTCCAGGAGAGAATGGGCCAGAAATAAATCTTCCTTGGAGGCAGAGATGTGTGAGCTGAGCTGTGCAGGATGAGGAAAAGATTGCCAGCTGAGAACTGTAGCTGGTGCTAGAACATGGAACGAGATTGGCTTTGTCCTGAGCCCACCTCTCTTTTTACTTGCCTTGAGAAAATTAATCTAGATTTATCTAATGTGTCTCTCACTTCATAGAACAAAATGACACCTCAGAAAGTACTTGTTAAATGAATTGATGAGTGAGTGATTGGCCGCCTAAAATTGCTCATCCTTGTATCTTCATCTTCATCGAACAACACTTCTGGGCTCCAGGTCAATATTTCCAACTGTCACAAAGTCATTAAAGCTTAGCGAAAAAAAAGGCTTCTCTCAACCAGATCTTATTCAGTTACTTGTTTCCTGACTTTTCAAAAACTGGCACTGATGTATTAGGCTATTTGTATTGCAGTTTCGGCTTTTCTTGTTTTCTTGAATAAAACTGCAGACAAATTTGTCATAGCTATTAGCTCATGCAAATGGGTGAAGTATTTGACTGGAACTCTGCATTTTGCTCTGTCACAGAGTTACTAGTTTCACTTCTTTAAGTTCACACATTTGCTGGACCTAATCCATCACATAGGAGTATTGTGTATTAATTGATGGGGACAGCAGGGGTTATCGCTAGAATTCTGAGTACTTGAGAAGCCATGCAAATACACTGTCTGATTGGTACTATTTTCTGTCTTTCCACATATGCTGCCCCACACTAGAGTGGGAGAAAGTTTTATTATAAAAAAAATTAAAATTAAGCAAAAAATACAGAGAACACTGTGGTAACCAAATTCAATTTTATTATATCCTAGGGAGTTTACAAAGTGAGAAAGGCGTTTCATTGCAATGATGGGAAGCAGCGACATCAACTTAAGGAAATTTGGGAGAGTCATTTAAATTATCCGATCTCAGTTTTCTCACCTGTACAATTGGGTCAATATTAATTTCCTCCCTTTACAGGGACATCGTAAGAATAAAATGGATGGGAAAGAGCTTTGGAAATTATAAAATACTGTGAAGTAGGAGTTAGTGTGTATATCACCCCACAAAACACACACGTACTACCATATGCCTTCTTACATCTTATAGATGTCTATGCTGATAAAATGCCAACAGTTAATGAGAAAGAACCAAAGACCAAATCTATAATCCATGTTCCTGGGAATCTTGTTTACCCCAAAATAAAAAATATGTGAGATTTGGGACACTTGTTTATATTGTAATCATATTATTCTCATTATTGCCAATGTGTGGCATGTGTGTGTTTTAAAAATATATGTTTCCTTCAAAGAATATATTTGCAGGGCTCTGGATTGCATTTGTATGTTGTCATCTCTAATAACCAAATCACAGTGCTGAAGGAACCTAATGTGCTTTCAAGGTTTATCCTGGGTTCTTATACGGTCAAAATGCCTTGTCAATTGGCTTGTGCTGGATCAAGACTAAATGGAAGAGGAGCAGCACAGAGGATAGAAAAGACACTGGATTTGCAGCCATACCTGAACTAAATTGGGATTCTGTCACTGGGGGAGGAGACTCTGGACCTAAGATTGGAAGGAAACCCTTATTGCCTGCAGCTACCAGCTGATGTGAATGGGGAAAATAAGTTTTAAGAAGAGAAATGTGACCTCAATTGAATTGAAGTGGCAAAAAGGTACAGGTGAGATATAGAGATAAAATGGATCATGTATTCAAAGTACAGAGAAAAACATTAAGATAAGTAAGATAATTGAAAAAAAAATCACCTCTCAAGTTCTGGCTGAGATGGAGATATGGAAAGGTTGCATATGCATCCTGCAGAAGATGGGTAGTGGGTGGGAACTGTCTGTGTACCAGGGAGGCGGGGGTAGAGCTAACATTCAGCTTTCTATTTTCCCTATCAGGATTTCAGCTCCCTGGAATGTGATTTTACCCTGGAATGTGATAACAGCTGTAAAACTATAGTCAAAAGATGATCTTAGATGCATTAATATCCATGGGTTCTGTTTCAGATACTGAGCATTTGTAATACTGTAGGGCCTTGTTATGGTAGAAGGTAGGGTTGTGCAGTCTGGCAGCAAGATAACAATGGGCCCTACTCTTAAGAAAAGAGGACAGACTCTACCTCCCTGGAAACTCAGTTTTGTGCATTTTGGGCTTACATAAAAAATATTCTCACCAACTAGCATAAGGCAATTTGCAAACCACAATAATTTGCACGTGGAAATACTTGAAAATGCTTATTTTTTTATTGCTGAAGAAATAAATAATTAAGAGATGTTTTTTGCATTCCTATTTTGTGACCTGACTCTGGTTTCTTTGCTGAGGGAAGCCATTTATTAGTTAATTTATTCACTTACTCATTCAGCAAACAGTTCTTGAATAGGTACTCTGTGCCAGGGTGCTGGGTGTGCCATGGCAAATAACACACATTATTTCTGCCTTTATAGAGTTTACACTTTATTTTAGATAAGATAAAAATAATTATGTGAACAGAGAAATAAGATCACTCAAGGTAGTGATGTGTGTTATAAATGCGAAGGGGATGAACATGACAGTGGGAGGAGAAATCCTTAAGGGGTCATGGGTTTACTCTCCAAGGAGGGACATACGAGTTGACATCTGAGTGATGCACAGACATAACATAAAAGTGGACAAACAATGGCTCAAACCATTGGCACTCTATCATTTTTTGTAATAAATATGTACCAGGATATCTAGTAGGGGAGTCAGGTGGGACAGACGTACCAACTCAGTGGCAATATCAAGAACAGGGATGACACATCATTCTGGTTATTCTTTGTGTGTGTGTGTGTGTGTGTGTGTGTGTGTGTGGCAGGGTCTCACTCTGTCACCCAGGCTGGAGTGCAGTGATGCCATCTCGGCTCACTGCAACTTCCGCCTCCTGGGTTCAAGTGATTCTCCAGCCTCAGCCTCCTGAGTAGCTGGGATTACAGGCATGCACCACCACGCCCATCTAATTTTTGTATTTTTGGTAGAGATAGGGTTTTACCATGTTGGCCAGGCTGGTCTCAAACTCCTGACCTCAAGCAATCCCCAACCTCGGTCTCCCAAAGTGCTGGGATTACAGGCGTTTGAGCCACCATGCCCAGCCTCATCTTTCATATGTTGGTTTTACCTCCTCATGATTTCAGAATGACACTGTACCCATAGGGATTGCATATGCATTCCAGTCAGAAAGAAAAGGAAAGGGCAGTGCCTGTCGGGAATGGTGCAAAATGCAGGAGGGCATTGAAAGATTAACCTGTGGGGCCATTTGTTCAAAAAGTGGGAAAAAAGTGACATTAAAGATATCAAAAAAATGAAAGGCTTTTCCTTAAAAAAAAATTTGTCTTACTTTAAAAATGTAACAGTTTGTACACAAGAAAAAAATACAGAATTATAAATTACAAACAATATTTTTGTGTCATAAATGCACATAAAAACAAAAATTCATGTGCTATCTGAATTGATCATACTGGTTTTGGGCTTGCTTTTTCTGTAATTTTATTTATAGGTCATCAAAATTCATACTAAAATAAGTTTACTTTCAATCAATATAATTGAAATCAATACCAGCCACTCTTGGCAAATGCAAGACTGCAAACAATTTTGATGATTTTTAAATTTTGACAAGGATCTTTCTGCTGATGCAACTGTTACTGTGTCTGTTAAGGGTGTTTTATAGACTGCGACAACATAGGGAAATTTTCTGACCAATTGTTTCAAAATATAAATTTTAAGACATCTAGAATTGACTCTCATGAAACAATTTTTCTAAAATCAGCATTCTGTAAATTTGAATTTTATTTTAATTGTAAATTTGTACAATTGCATTTTAATATCTCCTCTGACATTTCCTGTACTGTACGGAGGTGGAACAAGAAACGGAAAATGGCCTCATGCTTTGTATATAATTCAACATGTCGGTTTATGCAGTTTATCTTCAGTTAAAAAGGAAACATTAATCTGAAAGTTGTCTTCCTTGTTAATAATTAGTTCATCCAAAGCTTCACTGGAGAATAGTGTTCTTTTCCGTGGAATGCTACAACCTTTAAATTTAATTTCCATTTGCTTTTCAATGCTGCAGTCATTTCCAAAAGTAGAGATTCTAAACTCCCTGAGGAATCCAAGTAACTCCCAAATTATTTGCTTTATTTCAATGTCTTTTTGTATCATTTTATTTTGTAATAATTTACTAACAAAGTTTACCTCCTCAGTGATGGCACACCTATCCCAGTGCTGAGGGCGAGAGTTTAGTATTTGTGCAGAGGCTGCAGAAAAGGCCTCCAGGGACAGCAGGGCAAGCTGGTGGCCTCTGGCTATGTCCCAGAGCACTGTTCCAGACAGCCGAAGGCGCTTGTACCTGGCCACCAGTGAATTATGCAGTGCCTGCACTGTCTGCTTTGGCTGCAGAGCCTGAGCTATCACCTGGTGAATCTGCTGCTCATGATCATGCTTGGACCTCACTTATAAAATAAATTAAGGATAAATATTAAGAATTTTGAAAGGGCAACAGCAGAGCACTTAACCAGATGGAGAAGAGATGGGCAGAGCCCTTCTGAGAGCAGGGCCCTCTGTCACTGCACAGTTTGCAAGCCCTGAAGCCAGCCCTGGTGCCTGTAACATATGACTTTTTTATCAGGAAGGCAAACATGCCTCCAGCAGTCTTTGCTTAAGTCTTACTGTCTGCTACTCTGTCACACAGCCATCTATTGCTGCAGGGTACTGTGGGGCAGTGACTATTTTCCAGCTGCTGTGGTAGAGGCAGACAAAGGAGAAAGGACAGTGAAATGGGTGTTGGGTTAGCCAGTCAAGTCTGCCCTAGATAACACAGGGCCATTTAAGGTGGAGTGTATAAGGCAGAATTAGCAGTGAGCATGGCATCCTGAGATGGATGAGGGAAACAAACTCTGTGTGTGTGTGTGTGTGTGTGTGTGTGTGTGTGTGTGTGTGGCTGACAGTTACATGTTTGGAGGACAGCAAGAAGCCCAGTGTGGTTGGAACTGAAGAGAAGGAGGGGAATAGTGGTTAAAGGGAAGACCAAGTATTATGTAGCTTCTAAGTCTGGTGGTTATGCCAAGGAGTTAGTGCTGATATAAAATAATTCTCTTTCACTTATCTGAACAGAAATAAAGTATTTGGAAGGATATTGGGTAGTTTACACAATCATTGAAAAGGCTAGAGAAACAGATATAGAATAGAAACAGATTGGGCTATCTTTAGATATAGAGAAGATATTCTACTAGAACCATAACCAAAATCATGCCAGGATCACTGTAGCGGCATTACCATTGTGCCCACCATCAAAAAAACAGGTGCTTCATCATGTCTGTGAATACTCTAAGAGTATTCTAAGGTTGCCCCTGGAAACTTTATGTTACTGACAATGTTTTGGCTTCCAGAAAGAATGTTTTCCTATCTTCATTCAAAGTCCAAGATAAGGGAATCTGAGTGAACAAATGTAGGCACCACGCACTTGTCCTAAGTAAAAGCAGCAAGGTACTATTGCTGAATGCGGACCATATCTCTTGCCAAACTCTATATGGCTGTTCATATGCAAGGTTTCCCTGCCTCGCCTCTTCAGATGACAAATATTTATTAAAATTCATCCATTTAGTGAAACCTATCAATCTTTAACCTCATTCCCCTTCCCAAATACATTCCCAGCTAAAGTAAAGCAATTAGGGCCCATTGATTAAAATTTACCCCATCCTCAAAGAAAGGCAATACCAAATATTTCCCAGTTACTACTTTTGGCATCAAGTCCAGTGTCTACTTCTCCTCTAGTTCTGTATGACCTTATATCAATATAATATGACCAAGAGATTAAATTGTAAAGTTAACAACAACTAATATACTCTATGTACAATAATAGGGTAAAGAAGAAAAAATAAAAGAGACATTACTTACAGCACTAAAAATGTGACATAGCAATAAGAATAGCTAAAGTCCTTATTTCCTTAATGGTAATAGGACCTTAAGTTGTGTTTATGAGTTGTATTAACTGCTGCATATTCTCTTTTTCTTCAGAGAAATTTTTAGTTGGTCAAGATTCTTTGCAAATGATGTCACCCAAATGCTAATTCTTCAGAGATTTGGTCCTCAGTGGTCCTTCATGCATTTGGCTACAGTAATTTTCTGTTACATTTTACTAAGAACATGGTAGTATAAGGAAACTTCCTAGGGAATCCTTGGGCTTTATACATACTTATCTATTTATTTCTCCCTTTTTCATTGATGGTCAAAATTGATTTTATTGTAAAAAATGTAATGTGATGTAAATGTCTTCTTTTTTTTTGATATGGTCATATAGAGCATGAGGAGTCAAAAACTGACCATTTATCTGTTTCAACTTCTAATTCGATGAAAATAAAGTTATGCTTCCTAGAGGAAGTATTTCTCTGTTGAGTCTTAAAACTTTTAATGAAGGAGAAGTATCACGGAAATACTATGAATGGGGAATTCATTGTGATAGTGAGATATTCTATTACAAATTCCATCTCTTATTTTGCCACCTTTTTATTTAGGCTATGAGATAAAACTCACACACACACATACACACACACACACACACACACATGATTTTTATCCCATAGCCTATATATATATATTTGATTAGAACATAAGTTGCTCTCAAGGACAGAGGCCAACCTGTCAAGTTATTGTATCTCATTGTGTGTAATATCCACGTCTTCTATAAGTCATTGCCAATAGATGAGAAGGTATGCAATAATACCAATGGACCCCAATGAGCTTAGAAGAAATGCTTCCCTATTTAATAGAAAAAATGAGACTTTGTTGAAGATGCAATCTTGTGTGTAAAACTATGATGAAAAAGCATTCCATAAATTCAAGTATGATGGTGCTATCAGAAGAACAGCAGAAAAGGCAAACAAATTCAAGGGAGCAATAGTCAGATAAACCTCAGTGAAGAAAAATCAATTTTTAAAAATTCATGCATAACTTTCCTGTTTCCTTGACCACTTTGTTAATGAGTCTCAGCACTGGGGTGGCTGAGGGAAGAAAGCTTATTGTCTTATACAGAGTAGGTAAAGAATACCAAATGAATCATTAAGAGCTTTTGCATAAAGGGTTTTTTAAAAATGAAATTCATATGGGACTCAGATATTCTCATAACATGAGCATGTTTTAAGAGGTCTGTCTTCATAACTCTTATACAAATGTCCTTATCACAAATTATGCAATCTCATTCCTTCGAAGTCCCTGGCCATTAAGCACTTTCTAGTTTCTCTCTCCTTCTAGAAACAGTGAAGAAGATGTACTAATCAAAGTTCTAATCACTGGAAGAATATCTCTTTCCCAGTGTTTTGAGTCCCCAAGTGGGGCTTTAATGCCAAAGAACTTCAGTTTTGGCACATGACAACATATTGTGTGGAGGTGGTTGATTCTCACTGATCTTGTCCCAGTGAGCTGGTAATAGGAAACTCTCAATGAGGCCATGGGTGTGGGTCAAGGTGGGATAGTAAAAGGGAAGTAGGCATATTGAGAGTGCTTCTAGAATTTGATTGTGACCTGTTTGGGCCCAGGCTTTTATATTTCACTTCTACGTGATGATGGTGAGCTGCTAGGAGTGCCTAATTTAATGTTGCATGGATCAGATGACTCTTGGTTTGTGATGGAAAGCCTTGGTGTTATCTTCTTCTGGTACCCCGTTATTGGGCATTAAGTTTTTACCAAAAGCCAATAGCAAGTCAGGAGCTGTTATTTAAGAATAATACAGGCATGGATTGGCTTCAAATCCTGAGAGTGTTGCTGTACTTCTCCTGGTTGAGTATTCGCCTGAGATCTTGAAGCATCCCAATCTTCTAAAAATACTTTAAGATAATCACTGCATCCACTATGTTCTAAAGCTTGAGATAGATAGACAGTCTGAGACATCTGAAAACCCTTCTGATATGGTCTGTATCTGTGTCTTCACCAAATCTCATGTTGAAATGTAATGCCCTGTGATGGAGGTGAGGCCTGGCGGGAGGTGTGTGAATCATGGGGGCAGACCCCTCGTGAATGGCTTAGCACCATCTCCTTGGTGAGGGGTGAGTGAATTCTGTGAGATCTGGTTTTTAAAAGTGTGACATGCCTCCTTCCTTCTTGCTCCTGCTTTTGCCATATGATGTTCCTGCACCCACTTTACCTTCCTCAATGAGTGAAAGCTCCCTGAAACCTCCCCAGAAGCCAAATAGATTTTGGTGCCATGATTGTACAGCCTGAAAAACCATAAGCCAATTAAGCTTCCTTTCTTTATAAATTACCCAACCTCAGATATTTCTTGCTTTTTTTTTTTTTTTTTTTTTTTTTTTGAGACAGAGTCTTGCTCTGTCACCCAGGCTGGAGTGCAGTGGCGCAATCTTGGCTCACCGCAAGCTCTTCCTCCCGGGTTCACACCATTCTCCTGCCTCAGCCTCCCGAGTAGCTGGGTCTACATGAGCTCACCACCACGCCCAGCTGATTATTTTTGTATTTTTGGTAGAGACGGGGTTTCACTGCGTTAGCCAGGATGGTCTCCATCTCCTGACCTCATGATCTGCCCACCTTGGCCTCCCAAAGTGCTGGGATTATAGGAGTGAGCCACTGCACCCAGCCCCCCAACCTCAGATATTTCTTTATAGCAATGCAAGAATGGCCTAACACACCTTCCTTACTCTAGGTTACACTTTAATTCGACCACATTATTTAGGTAAATTCATCAAAGTGTGTATTCAATTAATCACATTTAACAAAGTGCACACCCAAATGTGTATATGTTGCCTCAAAAATTAAAATGGGCAGAGATTTCTGGCATGAAAATAGAGGTGTAGACACACATTGGCTTCACTCCTCCCACAGAAAACCAAAAACAAATACATAGCCTTGAGATTATCACCAGCAACATCCTAGAACTCAAATATGAGGATGAGTCAGTCCCCAGGGCCATAGAAAAGTTAAAAATCTCTGACCAGATGGCAAGAGAATAAGACTTTCATATCTCCGACACCTTTTCTTCCATCTGCCTGGTATCAGGCATGTGGAAATTTTTCCCTGACTCATAATTTCTTCACTGGAAAAAGTGAGATTGAGTTGGACAACCAACTTTCTCACCATCTTGGGTTCTTTGGCAGGAGAACTGTCCATGCCTCAACCCACAGGAAGCATGGAGGCATATCCCTATGGACAGCGAGAGACAATGGAGGAAGATAGGACTACCATGCCCAGCCTTAGACACTCTGTTCTATAACTTGGCCAAAGAACACAATGAATCAGAGTGGCTGTTCAGCAGGACCATGCTGTAAAATGCATGTTCCACAGGTTCCCCTAGACAGCCTTTCCACACTGCCAAGATAGCCCTTTTGGGACCTTACCTATTCCAGATGGGCACACATCTGATCATTTGCTAGAGCCAAGGCAAACCTTGGCTTAGGCTCCATCTACTGACAAAAAGGAGGCAGTGACCTAGTGGAAACAAAAATACATTCAATAGGTAAAGTACAAAGAATATCAAAGTAAACATATCCAATAAAACTCAAAATAATCCTGACAAAGAAGACTGGAATAAATAACTAATCCTTTAATTTAAAGACATATACATAGACCCATAAGAAACAACAGCAAACAGGGAACCATGACCTTCTCAAAAAGACAAAGCAAAAATCTAATAGGATCCAATGACTGATTCTAATGAGATGGTGATTTGTGAGCTCTCCGACCAAGAATTCAAAATGGCAGTTTTAAGGAAACTCAGTGATCTCCAAGAAACACAGAAAATCAATTCAGAAATGTATCAGAGAAAGTTAACAGAAATTGAAATAGTAACAAATCAAACAAATCTTGAAATTGAGAAATACATTTGCTGAGCTAAAAAATTAATTTCAACAGCAGCATAGATTAAGCAATCAGTGAACTCAAAGACAGGTTATTTGAAATTACACACTCAGAGAAGAGAAAAAAAGAATGAGAAGAAATGAAGATAACCTACAAGATACAGAAAAGAACCTCAAATACCATATCTAAAAATTATTGGTGTTCAAAAGGGGGCCGTGATGGTTAATATTGAGTGTCAACTTGATTAGGTTGAAGGATGCAAAGTATTGCTCCTGGATGTGTCTGTGAGGATGTTGCCAATGGATATTAACATTTGAGTCAGTGGACTGGGAGAGGCAGACCCACCCTCAATCTAGGTGAGCACCATCAAATCAGCTGCCAGAGCAGCCAGAATAAAGTAGGCAGGAGAAGATGGAAGAGCAGACTTGCTGAGTCTTCCAGCCTCCATCTTTCTCCATTGCTGGATGCTTCCTTCCCTCAAACATCAGACTCCAAGTTCTTGAGCTTTTGGACTCACACCAGTGATTTGCCAGGGGCTCTCAGGCCTTTGGCCACAGACTGAAGGCTGCTTTGTTGGCTTCCCAACTTTTGAGACTTTAGGACTGGACTGGCTTCCTTGCTCCTCAGCTTGCAGACAGCCTATCTTGGGACTTCACCTTGATTCATGTGTGTCAATTATCCTAATAAACTCCTTTGCATATATACATATATCCTATTAGTTCTGTCCCTTTAAAGAACCCTAAGGCAGGGGCTGAGCAGGAGCAGGGGATAGAAATTTTATCCAAGGAAATAATAAGAGAAAACTTTCCAAAATTTGAAGAGGATAAAATATCCAGGGACAAGAAGGTCAAAGAACACCAAACAATTTGATCCAAGTAAGATGACCCCAAAGCTTATAGTAATCAAACTCTCAAAGGTCAAGGACAAAGAGAAAAATTTAAAAGCAGCAAAAGAAGCAAATAACATATAAAATAACTCCAAGAACTCTGAGAATAGGCCTCTCAATGGTAACCATACAGGCCAGGAGGGAGTGGAATGACATTTTCAAACTCCTCAAAGAAAACTAAAACTGCCATCTGAGCATACTTTACCAAGCAAATTTATCCTTCAGATATGAAATAGAGATAAAGTCTTCCCCAGACAAACAGAAGCTGAGAGAATTCACCACCACCAGACTTTTCTTACAAGAAATGATAAAGAGAGTTCTTCAATCTGAAAGAAAAAAAGCACTAATGTGCAAAAAGAAAATGTTTGAAGGTATAAAATCCAATGGAAAAATTACAAATAGACTAAAAAATACATCTAAAGGAAGAGATAGGCTGAAATACAATAATAGCAGGGGACATCAATGTCTCAGTCTAAGTAATGGACAGATCATTCTGACAGAAAATAAAACAACACAGGAGTTAAACTACACACTAGATCAAACAGCCCTAACACACACAGAAGATTTCACCCAACTGCTATATAATACACATTCTTTTTGCCAGCATATGGAACATTCTCCAGAAAAGACCATGTCTTAAATGACAAAACAAGTGTGAACAAATTCCAAGAAAATAGAAATTATATCAAGTATCTTCTCTGACCACAGGGGAATTAAACTAGAAGTGAACAACAAGGGAAACCTCAGAGACAACACCAAAACAAAGAAATTAAACAACATGCCCCTGAACAACCAGTGGGTTAATGAAGAAATAAAGAAAGCAATTTTAAAAATTCTTGAAACAATGAAAATGGAAATGCAACACACCATAAGCTATGGAATACAGCAAAAGCAGTGCTAAGAAGGAAGTTCACAGCAAAAAATGCCTATATGATAAACTCAGAAAGACTTGAAATAAACAACCTAATGATGCACTTCAAAGAAGCAGAAAATCAAGAATGAACCAAACCCAACATTAGTAGAAATAAATGAATAATAAAGATCACAGCAGACATAAATAGAATTGAGACTAAAACAAAACAAACAAAAAAACAGATAAATAAACAGAAATGAAAAAGGGAACATAACAACTGAAACTTCAGAAATGCAAAGAATCATTCTGGACTTTTCACCAGTAAATTGAAAAACCCAGATAAGTGGATAAATTCCTGGACATATGCAGTCCACTGAGATTGAACCAGGAAGAAATAAAAAACCTCAATAAAGGGCATGCAAACAGGAAGAGTGAAAGTCAAACTATCCCTGTTTGAAGACTATGATTCCATACCTAGAGAATCCCATAGTCTCTGCCAAAAAGCTCCTTAATCTAATAAACAATGTCGGCAAAGTTTCAGGATACAAAATTAATGTACAAAAACCAGTAGCATCCCTATATACCAAAAATATCTAAGCTGGGGGCCAAATCATGAAATGCAATCCCATTCACAATAGCCACAAAAAGAATAAAATACCTAGCAATACTGCTAAGCAGGGAGGTGAAAGATTTCTAAAATGAGAATTACAAAACACTGCTCAAAGAAATCATGTAGGATAAAAAATGGAAAAACCTTCCATGCCCAGGGATAGAAAGAATCAGTGTTGTTAAAATGGCCATACTGCCCAAAGCAATTTACAGATTCAATGTTATTCCTATCAAACTACCAAGGACATTCTTCAGAGAATTAGAAAAAAACTATTCTGAAGTTCATATAGAACCAAAAAAGAGCCTGAATATCCAAGATGATCCTAAGCAAAAAGCACAATGCTGGAGGCATTATGTTACCGGACTTCAAACTATACTACAAGGCTACAGTAACTGAAACTATGGTATTGGTACAAAAACAGACACACAGGCCAATGGAACACAACAGAGAACCCAGAAATAAAGTTGAACACCTAAAACCATCTGATCTTCAACTAAGTTGACGAAAACAAACAATTGGGAAAGTCTCACTATTTAATAAATGGTGCTGGGACAACTGGCTAGCATAAGCAGAAGATTGAAACTGGACCCCTTCTTTATACTATGTGCAAAAATTAACTCAGGATGGATGAAAGACTTATAAAAACTATAAAAATCATGGGAGATAACTGAGGAAATACCATTCTGGACATAAGACCTGACAAATATTTTGTGATTAAGATGCCAAAACAATTGCAACAAAAACAAAAATTGACAAATGGAACCTAATTAAACTAAAGAGATTCTGCACAGCAAAAGTAACTATCAACAGAGTAAACGAATAACCTAAAGAATGAGAGAAAATATTTGCAAACTATGCATCTATCTAAGGTTTGATCCAGAATCTATAAGCAAAAAACAAACGACCCCGTTAAAAAGTGAGCAAAGTACATGAACACTTTTCAAAAGAAGACATACACACAGCCAATAAGCATATGACAAAATGCTCAACATCACTGATCATTAGAGAAGTGCAAATCAAAACCACGATGTGATACCATCTTGCACCAGTAAAAATGGCTATTATTAAAAAGTAAAAAAAACAACAGATGCTGGCAAGGATGCAGAGAAAAGGGAATGCTTATATACTGTTGATGGGAATGAAAATTAGTTGAGTGATTGTGGAAAACAGTTTGGTGATTTCTCTAAAAAAATTAAAACAGAATCATCATTCAGCCTAGCAATATCACTACTGGGTATATGCCCAAAGGAATGTAGATTGTTCCGCTATAAAGATACGTGCATGCTTATGTTCATTGCAGCACTATTCGCAATGGCAGAGACAGAATCAACCTGAATTCCCATCAACGGTAGAATAAGTTTTAGAAATGTGGTACATATACACCATGGAATACTATGCCATTATAAAAAAGAATGAGATCATGTTTTTTGCAGCAACATGGATGAACCTGGAGGTCATTATCCTAAGTGAACTAATGCAGGAACAGAAAACCAAATACCACCTGTTATCATAAGTGGGAGTTAAACATTGAGTACATATGGGCACAAGGAAAGGAACAACAGGCACTGGGCCTACTTCAGGATAGAGAGTAGGAAGAGAGTGAGGATTGAAAAACTACCTATTGAGTACTATGTTTATTATCTGGCTGTACACCAAACTCCAGTGACATGCAATTTACCTACATAACAAACTTGCATATGTACACCTGAACCTAAAATAAAACTCTATAAAATAAAATGAATAAAACCCACTGAACTGTAAAAAAAAAAAACCTTAAACCAATAATGAATAATAAGATTGAAGCTGTGCTAAAATGTATCCCATCAAATAGAAGTCTGGGACCTGATGGTTTTACTGCTGAATTTTACCAAACATTTAAAAGAGCTAACAGCAATTCTCATCATTAATCCAGCAATCCCACTACTGGGTATCTACCCAAAGGAAAAGGAAATCATCATATAAAAAAGATACCTACACTCATGTTTATCACAGCACTATTCATAATAACAAAGATAAGGAATCAACCCAAGTGCCCCTCTATGGATGGTTGAATAAAGAAAATGTGACACACACACACACACACACACACACACACACACACACACACAGAGCAAGGAATACTACTCAGCCATAAACAATGATAAAATGTCTTTTGTAGCAACATGGATGGAACTAGATGCCATTATCTTAAGTGAAATAACTTGAAAATAGTCAAATACCATATGTTCTAATGTGGGACCTAAATAATGTGGACACATCGATATAGAAAGTGAAATAATAGACACTGGAGACTCAGAGGGCATGAGGGTGAAAGGAGAAGTGGAGGATGAAAAATTTTTAAAATACTTTTAAATTCAGGGGTACATGTAGCAGGTATGTTACATAGGTAAAGATGTGACATGGGGGCTATTGAACAGATTATTTCATCACTCAGGTATTAAGCCTAGTAACCATTAGTTATTTTTTCTGATCCTCTCCCTCCTCCCTCCCTGTCCCCTCTAATAAGCCCCAGTGTGTTTTGTTCACCACCATGTGTCCATGTGTTCTCATCATTTAGCTCCCACTTATAAATGAGAACATGTGGTATTTGGTTTTCTGTTCATGTGATAGTTTGCTAAGGATAATGGCCTCCAGCTCCATCTTTGTCCCTGCAAAGGACATAATCTCATTCTTTTTTATGGCTGCATGATATTCTATAGTACATATATGCCACAATTTCTTTATCCAGTCTATCATTGTTGGGCATTTAGGTTGATTCCATGTCTTCGCTGTTGTGAATAGTGCTGAAATGAAGACATGTGTGCATGTGTCTTTGTAACAGAACCATTTATATTCCTTTGGGTATACACCCAGTAATGGGATTGCGGGGTCCACTGGTATTTCTGTCTTTAGGAATCACCACACTGCCATCCACAATGGTTGAACTAATTTACTTTCCTACCAGCAGTGTAAATGCATTCCATTTTCTCCACAACCTTGCCAGCATCAGTTAGTTTCTGATTTTTTAATAATAGCCCTTCTGACTGGTGTAAGATGGTATCTCATTGTGGTTTTGATTTGCATCATTCTAATGATCAGTGATGTTGAGCTTTTTTTCATATGATTGTTGGCTGCATGTATGTCTTCTTTTGAGAAGTGTCTGTTCATGTCCTTTGTCCACTTTTTAATGGAATTGTTTTTTTTCTTGTAAATTAGTTAAGTTCCTTATAGATTCTGGTTATTAGATCTTTGTGAGATGCATGGTTTGCAAAAATTTTCTCCCATTCTGTAGGTTGTTTGTTTGTTCTGTGGATAGTTTCTTTTGCTGTGCAGATGCTCTTTAGTTTAATTAGATCCCATTCATCAATTTTTGCTTTTGTTGCAATTTCCTTTGGCATCTTTGTCATGAAATGTTTGCCCATGCCTATGTCCTACATGGTATTGCCTAGGTTGTCTTCCAGGATTTTTACAGTTTTGGGTTTTACATGTTAAGTCTTTAATCCACCTTGAGTTAATTTTCGTACATGGTATAAGGAATGGGTCCAGTTTTAATCTTATGCTTATGGCTAGTCAGTTATCCCAGCACCATTAATTGAATCAGAAATCCTTTTCTTATTGCTTGCTTTTGTCAGGTTTGTCAAAGATCAGATGATGGTAAGTGTGTAGTCTTATTTCTGGGTTCTCTATTCTGTTCCATTAGTCTTTGTCTGTTCTTGTACTAGTATGAGGCTGTTTTGGTTACTGTAGCCCTGTAGTATAGTTTGAAGTCATATAGCATCATGTCTTGAGCTTTGTTCTTTTTGCTTAGGATTGCCTTGGCTATTCGAGCTCTTTTTTGGCTCCATATGAATATTAAAATAGTATTTTCTAGTTCTGTGAAGAAGGTCAATGGTAGTTTAATGAGAATAGCATTGAATCTATAAATTGCTTTGGGCAGTATGGCCATTTTAGTAATCTTGATTCTTCCTATCCATGAGCATAAAATGTTTTTTCATTTGTTGATGTCATCTCTGATTTCTTTAAGTAATGTTCTGTAGTTCTTGTAGAGGCCTTTCACCACCCTACTTAGCTGTACTGCTAGGTATTTTATTATTTTTGTGGCAATTGTAAATGGGAGTTCACTCGTGATTTGGCTCTTGGCTTGCCTGTTGTTGGTGTATAGGAAGGCTAGCGATTTTTGCACATTGATTTTGTATCCCAAGACTTGGCTGAAGTTGCTTGTCAGCTTAAGAAGCTTTTGGGCTGAGATAATGGGGTTTTCTAGAAATAGGATCAGGTCATCTTCAAAATAGTATGACTTCCTCTATTCCTATTTGAATGCCCTTTATTTCTTTCTCTTGCATGATTTCCCTGGCCAGAACTTCCAATACTAAGTTGAATAGGTGTGGTGAAAGAGGGCAAGGGGTGAGAAATTACTTAATGCATACAATGTACACTATTTGGATGATGGCTACACTAAAATATGAGACTTAAGCACTGCACAATATATCCATGTAGCAAAACTACATTTATACCACCTAAATCTACAATAATTAACAAATATATCTTCAAAAAGTTGAAGAGAAGGGAATAATTTCAAATCATTCTATGAGGCCAGCATTACCCTGATAGCAAAACCAGACCATAACACAACAAAATATAAGACCACAGGCCAATACCACTGATAAACATAGATCCAAAATTCCCCAATGAAAGACTAGCAGACCAAATTCACCAACACATTAAAAATATCACTCATCATGACCAAGTGGGATTCATCCCAGCGATGCAAGGATGGTTCAAAGTGCTCAAATCAATACATGTATGCGTCACACTAACAGAATCAAAACCAAAAAATCATACTATCATTTCAATAGATGTTGAAAAAGCATTTGATAGAATTCAACATTCCTTCATAATAAAAACCTTCAACAAACTGAGTATAATAAAAACCTCAAAATAATAAGAGCCATATATGACAGCTCCATAGCCAACATCACACTGAATGAGGAAAAACTGAAAGCCTTTTCTCTAAGATTTGGAACAAGACAAGGATGCTCACTTTTACTACGTTTATTCAACATAGTACTGGATGTTCTAGTAAGAGTAATTAGGCAAGAGAAAGAAATAAAGAGCACCCAAACAGAAAAGGAAGAAGTCAAATTAGCTTTGTTCACAGATAACATGATCTTATACCTAGAAAACCCTAAATACTACACTGAAAACTGTTAGAACTAGTGAAACAAATTTAGTAAAGCTGTAGGATGAAAAAACAACATACAAAATCAGTAGAATTTATATACACCAACAGCAAACAAGAAAAAGAAATAAAGAGAGCAATCCCATTTACAATAGCTACGAAGAATATAAAATACTTAGGAATTGATTTAACCACAAAGTGAAAGACATATGCAAGAAAAACTATAAAACACTGATGGAAGAAATTGAAGAGGACACAGAAGAATGGAAGACTATTCCATGCTAGTGGGTTGGAAGAATTAATATTGTTAAAATGACAATGGTACCTGAAGCAATTTACAGATTCTATTTATTTCTATCAAACTACTAATTGCTTTCTTCACAGAAAAAGGAAAAAAAATCTTAAAATTTATATGAATTCACAAAAGAACTGGAATAACTAAAGCAATCTTTACCAAAAACAAAAACAAAAACAAAAAACTGGGGGGATCACACTATCTGACTTGACTTCAAAATATACTACAAAGCTATAGTAACCAAATCAGCATGGTAGTAGCATAAAAACAGATACATAGACCAGTGCAACAGAACACAGAACCCAGATATAAATCCACACTTTTACAGCCAATTCATTTTTGATAAAGATGCAAGAACATACATTGAAGAAAGGGCACCCTTTACAATAAATGGCGTTAGAAAAATTGGATAACCATATGCAGAAAAATAAAACTAGACCTCTGTCTCTCACTATATACAAAGGTCAAATAAAAATGGAATAAAGACTTAAATCTAAAACCTGAAACTATAAAACTACTAGAAGAAAATGCAGGGATTCATCTGGGCAAAGATATTGTGTGTGTGAGAGAACTCAAAACACAGTCAACGAAGGCAAAAAAAAGATAAACAGAATTACATCAAGCTAAAAGCTTCTGCACGGGAAAGGAAACAACAAAATGAAAAGACAACCCAAATAATGGTAGAAAATATTTGCAAACTTCCCATCGTCCAAGGGATTAACAAGCAGAATATATAAGGAGCTCAAACAACCCAATAACAAAAAGCCAAATGATCTGAATAAAAAATGGGCAAAAGATCTGAATAGACATTTATCAAAAGAAGACATAGAAATGGCCAATAGGTGTATAAAAAATGCTGAATTGTCAAAGAAATGTAAATGAAAACCATAATGACATATAATCTCACCCCAGTTAGAATGGCTTTTATCAAAGACAGAGAAAAAAGGATGCTGCTGAGGATGTGGAAATAGCAGAACCCTTGTACAGTGCTGGTAGGAATGTAAATTAGTACAATGACCATGGAAAACAGTATGGAGGGGTGGTTAAAAAACTACATATAGAACTACCATATGATCCACCAACTTCACTACTGGCTATATATCCAAAAGAAAGGAAATCAATATATTGAAGAGATATCTGCACTCACATAATTATTACAGCACTGTTTTCAACAGCCAAAATATGGAATCAACTTAGTGTCCCAACAGTAGATGAATAGAAAAAATATGTGGTATATATACACCATGGAATATTATTTATCCATAAAATAGAATGAAATCCTGGCATTGTAGCAACATAGATGGAACTGAAGTTCATTATGTTGAGTGAAATAAGCCAAGCACAGAAAGAGAAATATTGCATGTTCTCAGTCATATGTAGGAGCTAAAGAAAAAAAGTAGATTTCATGAAGATTGAGCGTAGATTTGTGATTACCAGAGGCCGGGAAGGATAGATGGGGGAGAAAGGCATGAAGAGAGGTTGATTAATGTGTACAAATAAATACTTAGATAAAATAAATAAAACATGATGTTTGATGCATCAGTAGGATGACTACAGTTAGCATTAATCAATTGTACATTTCAAAATAGCTAGGAGAGAATAAGTCACACGATCCTACTGTAAACAAAAGATGAATATTTAAGGTGAGAGATAATCCAGTTACCCTGATTTGATTATATGAAGGTATCAAATTACCACATGTATCTCCAAAATATGTACGTCTGATATGTATGAGTAAAATATAAGTAGAAATGTGAATATGGTGGACCAGATGCAGCTAGCGGGCACTTCTCTCATGGAAGGTAATTAAAATACTGAGTAAAATACTCACACTTTGAACAGATCATCTAAGACAGAGCACTGGATTTCATCCGAGAAGCGATAGGAATTATAGGAAGCAAAGGAGGGTGAGGCTGGGCAGGCTGCTGGCCTGGGACTGGTGTGGAGTTTGAGAAGCTCTCTGATGCTGGGAAGGGGTGAGTGAGGAACCCCTGGGGCTCCACACTTTCTCCAGGGACTTTTGCAATCTTGGTAATGGGAGAGCTCCTAGACCCCCGATCCCACTGGACCTCCAGACTAACATGGAGAGCTGCCTGGAGGTTGCATAGAGGCACTACTCAAACTCACCTAGAGTCCCACAGGCTTTTGAACCCTGAGCAGCTGCTGCCCAGCACCATTCTGAAAGCTCAGCCCCCAGAGACCTGCATTTTGCCCTGGGGCTGTCATTGCCACTGCTGCCACTGGGCCAGGGAGGGAGTAGGGATACTGGGCATCTTCACAGTCTCCAAGGACAGACGCCACCCCTGCTGCTGCGGACAGAGGAGTTCTTGAACAGTGCACCCTAACAGCTGCTTGCCTTCACTGCTTCCACTGAGAGAGGGCTAGCTTTCTCAGTGGCCATCCAGCAGCATAGCCACCCTGCCGCTGCCTGAGCATTTCAGTGGCAGGCCTGGTGCTATTCTGAGAGACTGGTTCCCAGAGGTCTGCTTTCTGCCCGGGGGCTGCCACAGCCACCACTGCTGCCACTACCACCTCTGCCACCAGACCAGGGAGGGAGCAGGGAGACTGGGCACCTTCACACTCCCCAGTGACAGATACCATTGCTGCTGCTGTGTGACTGGGGAGTGTACCAACTGGCACCTCATGGCTGCCTGCCTACACTGAGAGGGGCCTGCCTTCTCTGGCAGCAGGTCTGCAGCACAGTCACTCTGCTCCAACCTGAACATTCTGCTGGTAGCCTGGGAACCAGCCTACTGTTTCTGATCACAGCCAGCACCTGAACCCCATGGACCTGAAGACAAGTCTGCTGATTGTGTCCCAGTCCAGTTCCTTCAGGACTTGTATATGCCATCTGGAGGGCAGTCTAGGGGACTGGAGACTGGGGGGATTGCCTAGCCCTGTCCATTACCACTGGCAACTGACACTTCCCCCTGGGATCTGAGGTCAGCCTGACCCAACCAGCCGACACCACCACAGCTGGTACCCACCTGCACTCACCAAAAGGCAGAGCCGGTTCCCCAACCCCACTGCACCCCACCCCCCACCCCCCGCCAAAAAAACAGCAGCATTCCTGCATTGGAAAACATACAAGTCACAACGCTGTCTGTATTGGGCTGAAGAAAGAGGTTTTGCCCCAAAGCCTCTTCCGTAGAAAACTCCGGGACTGGTGTTTTCTACTGGTCTCAGCTACATTGTGTTCTGGAGATAGAGGACAGTGTCTTACTGAGCTGAGAGTCTCGAGTCCTGGGACATGGGGGTGATAGGGAAATGAATTGCATTCTTGCCTTCTTAGGACATGGAGTTGGTGCAGCTGCCTCCCTGGCCCTGTGCAGACCTCAATGCATGTCACCAGTTCTCCCTGACACTGTGTCAGGGCTGGTGTCTGTACTTGTCATTAGCTATTTGTAGACAAGCTTGGTGATCCAGCTCCACCAAGCTTTGTTCCCTCATCCCCCAGGCTAAGCAAGGAACCCAAGGCATGAAGCATTCCACAGCCCAGACCATCACCTGAAATATCAGAGCACCTCCCAGTAAACAAAGATCAAGTACATCCTCACCTGCTTCTGCTGAAGCCAGCTCTTACCCCTAAGTGCCACGTACTGGCCTGGAGGTTGAACTGCACAACTCAGTACAAAACCTGCTGACAGAAGTGCATAGTGCTGGGGAAAGAAATAACATTCCTGAGACCTATGCAACCCCAGTCTTGCAGAAGGCAATGAGCTTGCTCATATGCCAAGTACATCATTACTACAACCATCATTTGAGAAAGCTGCTGCACAAAGACTGTCTATAACCAATGAACTCATACAAAGCTTTGGAACCTTGAAAACACAAAGAACTGAAGCCAAATGAGCACTCAGTGTAGGAACTGAGGCAGTATGAAAAAAGCAGCGCATTACAACATCCCAAAGAAACAAATCAGCTCTCTTGCCATGGATTCTAAACAAATAAAAACTCTGAAATGACAGATAAAAAATTTAAAATATGAATTGTAAGGAATCTCAATGAGATCCAAGAGAAAGTTGGAAGCCAACATAAATCAGAAAAGAAATACAGAATATGAAAGAAGACACTAATTTTTTTAAGTAAAAGCAAACAGAACTCCTGGAAATAAAAAAATTATTGAAAGAATTTACTAAATACAGTTGAAAGCTTTAACAATAGGCTAGACCAAGCAGAAGACAGAATTTTAGAACTGAAAGACAAGACTTTACAATTAACTCAGTCAGAAAAAATAATAAAAAACAATAAAAAATGAACCAAGCCTTTGAGAAACATGAGATTATGTAAAGCATCAAAATCTATCAGTTATTGGCATTCCAGAGAGAGAGGAGGAAAAAGCAAAAACTATGAAAAACCTATTTGAAAGAATAATTCCTGAAAACTTCTCTGGTCTTCCAAGAGATTTAGACATTCAGATACAAAAAAGCCCAGAGAACTCCTGGGAGATACACTGCAAGATGAACCTTACCAAGGCACATAGTCATCACATCCTCCAATGTCAATGTGAAGGAAAAAATCTTCAAAGCAGTAAAACAGAAGCCTAATCAACTGTGAAGGAAATCCTGAAAGAATAACAGCACATTTCAGTCTGTAATTTAAAAAAATCCCAATAACAAAAACAGCAACAACAAAAAACCAGGACAAGATGAATTTTCACCCAAATTCTACCAGACATACAAGGAAGAACTGAATCAATCTTACTGAAACTTTTCTTAAAATCCTAGGAGGAAATCCTTCCTAACATAGTCTACATTTTGGTCTTAGCATCACCCTGATACAGAAGCCAGGAAAGAACACAATAAAAAAAGAAAACTACAGGCCAATATCCCTGGTGAACATAGATGCAATAATCCTCAACAACATACTAGCAAACTGAATCCAACAGCACATTAAAATAATAATGCACCACAATCAAGTGGGATTTATTCCAGTGATGCATGGATGGTTCAACATATATAAATTAATAGATATGCTACATCATATAAAAAGAATTAAAAACAAAAACCACATGATTATTCAATAGATGCAGAAAAATCATTTGGTAAACTCCTGCATCATCTCATGATAAAAATTCTCAGCAAATCGGGCATAAAAGGAACATAACTCAAAATAATAAAAGCCCTATACAACAAACCCACAGCCACCATCATACTGAATTAGGAAAGGTTGAAAAAGTTTCCCATAAGAACTGGAAAAAGACAAGGATGCTCACTTTTAACAATCTAATTTAACATGATACTGGAAGTCCTCACCAGAGTAACTAGGCAAGAGAAAAAGAAGGACTTTAAAATTGGAAAAGCAGAAGTCAAGATTATCTGTTTGCAGATGATATGATCTTATATCTAGAAAACCTTAGAAACTCCTCCAAAAGACTCCTAGATTTGATAAATGACTTCATGGAAGTCTTAAAATACAAAATCAATGTGAAAAAATTAGTAGCATTTCTATACACCAACAATGATCAAGCTGAGAATCAAATCAAGAACTCCATTCTATTTGCAATAACCACACACACACAAAACACCCTAGGGTTATGTTTAACCAAGGAAGTGAAAGACCCATGCAAGAATAACAACAAAATCCTGAGGAAAGAAATCGCAGGTAATATAAACAAATGAGAAAACAGCTTACGCTCATGGATTGGAAGAATCAATATCATTAAAATGACCATTCTTTCCAAAGCAATCTACAGCTTCAATGTAATTCCTATCAAGTTACCAACATCACTCTTCATAGAATTAAAAAAAAAATCTAAAATTCATATGAAACCAAAAAAGACCCGAAGTAGCCAAAGGAATCTTGAGCAAAAAAGACAAAGCAGAAGAAGGCTCATTACTTGAATTCAAATCATACTAAAATGCTACAATAACCAAATCACAATAACTAGACACATAGATCAATGAAATAGGACAGAGAACCCAGAAATAAAGCCACACACCTACAGTTAACTGATCTTGACAAAGTTGACAAAAATATAGAGTGAGGAAAGGACACCCTATTCAATAAATGATGCTGGGAAAATTGCATAGCCATATGCAGAAGAATAAAACTGGATTCCTACCTCTCACCATATAAAAAAACTTAGCTCAAGGTGGGCTAAGGACTTAAATGTAAGTCCTGAAACTATAAAAATCCTAGGAGAAAATCTAGAAAAATATTCTTTTAGACACTGGCCTAAGCAAAAAATTTATGACTGAAACATCAAAAGCAGAAGCAACAGAAACAAAAATTGACAAATGGGACTTAATTAAACCAAAAAAACTTCTGTAAAGCGAAAGAAATAACCAAAAGAGTAAACAGATAACTTACAGAATGGAAGAAAATATTTGCAAATTATGCATTTGACAAAGACTAATATTCAGAATCTATGAGGAACTAAAATAATTCAATAAGAAAAATCCAAATAGGCCAGGCACTGTGGCTCATGCCTGTAATCCCAGTACTTTGGGAGTCCAAGGAGGGCGGATCACGAGGTCAGGAGTTTGAGACCAGCCTGACCAACATGGTGAAACTCCATCTCTACTAAAAACACAAAAATTGGCCAGGTGCTGTGGCACACACCTGGAATCCCAGCTATTTGGGAGGCTGAGGCAGGAGAATTGTTTGAACTTGGGAGGCAGAGGTTGCAGTAAGCTGAGATAGCACCACTGCACTCCAGCCTGGGTGACAGAGTGAGACTCCATCTCAAAAAAAAAGAAAAAGAGAAAAGCAAATAACTCCATTAGAAAGTCGGAAAAAGACATTAACACACATTGATCCAAAGAAGACACACAAGTGTCCAACTAGCATATGGAAAAAATATTCAACATAACTAATCATTAGAAATGCAAGTTAAAATCACAGTGAGATACCATCATATACCGGTTAGAGCGACTATTATTAAGAAGTCAAGAGGGGGAGGAGCCAAGATGGCCGAATAGGAACAGCTCCGGCCTACAGCTCCCAGCATGAGCGACGCAGAAGAGGGGTGATTTCTGCATTTCCATCTGAGGTACCGGGTTCATCTGACTAGGGAGTGCCAGACAGTGGGCGCAGGTCAGCGGGTGCGCTCACCGTGCGCCAGCCGAAGCAGGGCGAGGCATTGCCTCACTCGGGAAGCGCAAGGGGTCAGGGAGTTCCCTTTCCTAGTCAAAGAAAGGGGTGACAGACGGCACCTGGAAAATCGGGTCACTCCCACCCGAATACTGCGCTTTTCCGACTGGCTTAAAACACGGCACACCACGAGGTTATATTACGCACCTGGCTTGGAGGGTCCTACGCCCACGGAATCTCGCTGATTGCGAGCACAGCAGTCTGAGATCAAACTGCAAGGCGGGAGCGAGGCTGGGGGAGGGGCGCCCGCCATTGCCCAGGCTTGCTTAGGTAAACAAAGCAGCCCAGAAGCTCGAACTGGGTGGAGCCCACCACAGCTCAAGGAGGCCTGCCTGCCTCTGTAGGCTCCACCTCTGGGGGCAGGGCACAGACAAACAAAAAGACAGCAGTAACCTCTGCAGACTTAAATGTCCCTGTCTGACAGCTTTGAAGAGAGCAGTGGTTCTCCCAGCACACAGCTGGAGATCTGAGAACGGGCAGACTGCCTCCTCAAGTGGGTCCCTAATCCCTGACCCCTGAGCAGCCTAATTGGGAGGCACCCCCCCAGCAGGGGCACACTGACACCTCACACAGCAGGGTATTCCAACAGACCTGCAGCTGAGGGTCCTGTCTGTTAGAAGGAAAACTAACAAACAGAAAGGACATCCACACCAAAAACCCATGTGTACATCACCATCATCAAACACCAAAAGTAGATAAAACCACAAAGATGGGGAAAAAACAGAACAGAAAAGCTGGAAACTCTAAAAAGCAGAGCGCCTCTCCTCCTCCAAAGGAATGCAGTTCCTCACCAGCAACAGAACAAAGCTGGATGGAGAATGACTTTGACTAGTTGAGAGAAGAAGGCTTCACACGATCAAATTACTCTGAGCTACGGGAGGACATTCAAACCAAAGGCAAAGAAGTTGAAAACTTTGAAAAAAATTTAGAAGAATGTATAACTAGAAAACCAATACAGAGAAGTGCTTAAAGGAGCTGATGGAGCTGAAAACCAAGGCTCGAGAAATACGTGAAGAATGCAGAAGCCTCAGGAGCCGATGCGATCAACTGGAAGAAGGGGTATCAGCAATGGAAGATGAAATGAATGAAATGAAGCAAGAAGGGAAGTTTAGAGAAAAAAGAATAAAAAGAAATGAGCAAAGCCTCCAAGAAATATGGGACTATGTGAAAAGACCAAATCTACGTCTGATTGGTGCACCTGAAAGTGATGGGGAGAATGGAACCAAGTTGGAAAACATGCTGCAGGATATTATCCAGGAGAACTTCCCCAATCTAGCAAGGCAGGCCAATGTTCAGATTCAGGAAATACAGAGAACGCCACAAAGATACTCCTCGAGAAGAGCAACTCCAAGACACATAAC
Organism: Homo sapiens; assembly: GCF_000001405.40. NCBI lineage: Eukaryota > Metazoa > Chordata > Mammalia > Primates > Hominidae > Homo > Homo sapiens. The sequence goes on along the minus strand of NC_000010.11, from coordinate 83,785,527 downwards.
TGTCAGATTCACCAAAATTGAAATGAAGGAAAAAATGTTAAGGGCAGCCAGAGAGAAAGGTTGGGTTACCCTCAAAGGGAAGCCCATCAGACTAACAGCGGATCTCTCGGCAGAAACCCTACAAGCCAGAAGAGAGTGGGGGCCAATATTCAACATTCTTAAAGAAAAGAATTTTCAAGCCAGAATTTCATATCCAGCCAAACTAAGCTTCATAAGTGAAGGAGAAATAAAATACTTTACAGACAAGCAAATGCTGAGAGATTTTGTCACCACCAGGCCTACCCTAAAAGAGCTCCTGAAGGAAGCGCTAAATATGGAAAGGAACAACCGGTACCAGCCGCTGCAAAATCATGCCAAAATGTAAAGACCATCGAGACTAGGAAGAAACTGCATCAACTAACGAGCAAAATCACCAGCTAACATCATAATGACAGGATCAAATTCACACATAACAATATTAACTTTAAATGTAAATGGACTAAATGCTCCAATTAAAAGACACAGACTGGCAAATTGGATAAAGAGTCAAGACCCATCAGTGTGCTGTATTCAGGAAACCCATCTCACGTGCAGAGACACACATAGGCTCAAAATAAAAGGATGGAGGAAGATCTACCAAGCAAATGGAAAACAAAAGAAGGCAGGGGTTGCAATCCTAGTCTCTGATAAAACAGACTTTAAACCAACAAAGATCAAAAGAGTCAAAGAAGGCCATTACATAATGGTAAAGGGATCAATTCAACAAGAAGAGCTAACTCTCCTAAATATATATGCACCCAATACAGGAGCACCAAGATTCATAAAGCAAGTCCTGAGTGACCTACAAAGAGACTTAGACTCCCACACATTAATAATGGGAGATTTTAACACCCCACTCTCAATATTAGACAGATCAACAAGACAGAAAGTCAACAAGGATACCCAGGAATTGAACTCAGCTCTGCACCAAGCGGACCTAATAGACATCTACAGAACTCTCCACCCCAAGTCAACAGAATATACATTTTTTTCAGCACCACACCACACCTATTCCAAAATTGACCACATACTTGGAAGTAAAGCTCTCCTCAGCAAATGTAAAAGAACAGAAATTATAACAAACTATCTCTCAGACCACAGTGCAATCAAACTAGAACTCAGGATTAAGAATCTCACTCAAAACCGCTCAACTACATGGAAACTGAACAACCTGCTCCTGAATGACTAGTGGGTACATAACGAAATGAAGGCAGAAATAAAGATGTTCTTTGAAACCAATGAGAACAAAGACACAACATACCAGAATCTCTGGGACGCATTCAAAGCAGTGTGTAGAGGGAAATTTATAGCACTAAATGCCCACAAGAGAAAGCAGGAAAGATCCAAAATTGACACCCTAACATCACAATTAAAAAAACTAGAAAAGCAAGAGCAAACACATTCAAAAGCTAGCAGAAGGCAGGAAATAACTAAAATCAGAGCAGAACTGAAGGAAATAGAGACAAAAAAACCCTTCAAAAAATTAATGAATCCAGGAGCTGGTTTTTTGAAAGGATCAACAAAATTGATAGACCGCTAGCAAGACTAATAAAGAAAAAAAGAGAGAGGAATCAAATAGACACAAAAAAAAGGATAAAGGGGATATCACCACTGATCCCACAGAAATACAAACTACCATCAGAGAATACTACAAACACCTCTACACAAATAAACTAGAAAATCTAGAAGAAATGGATAAATTCCTCGACACATACACTCTCCCAAGACTAAACCAGGAAGAAGTTGAATCTCTGAATAGACCAATAACAGGATCTGAAATTGTGGCAATAATCAATAGCTTACCAACCAAAAAGAGTCCAGGACCAGATGGATTCACAGCCGAATTCTACCAGAGGTACAAGCAGGAACTGGTACCATTCCTTCTGAAACTATTCCAATCAATAGAAAAAGAGGGAATCCTCCCTAACTCATTTTATGAGGCCAGCATCATTCTGATACCAAAGCCAGGCAGAGACACAACAAAAAAAGAGAATTTTAGACCAATATCCTTGATGAACATTGATGCAAAAATCCTCAATAAAATACTGGCAAACCGAATCCAGCAGCACATCAAAAAGCTTATCCACCATGATCAAGTGGGCTTCATTCCTGGGATGCAAGGCTGGTTCAATATACGCAAATCAATAAATGTAATACAGCATATAAACAGAACCAAAGACAAAAACCACATGATTATCTCAATAGATGCAGAAAAAGCCTTTGACAAAATTCAACAACCCTTCATGCTAAAAACTCTCAATAAATTAGGTATTGATGGGACATATTTCAAAATAGTAAGAGCTATCTATGACAAACCCACAGCCAATATCATACTGAATGGGCAAAAACTGGAAGCATTCCCTTTGAAAACTGGCACAAGACAGGGATGCCCTCTCTCACCACTCCTATTCAACATAGTGTTGGAAGTTCTGGCCAGGGCAATTAGGCAGGAGAAGGAAATAAAGGGTATTCAATTAGGAAAAGAGGAAGTCAAATTGTCCCTGTTTGCAGACGACATGATTGTATATCTAGAAAACCCCATTGTCTCAGCCCAAAATCTCCTTAAGCTGATTAAGCAACTTCAGCAAAGTCTCAGGATACAAAATCAATGTACAAAAATCACAAGCATTCTTATACACCAACAACAGGCAAACAGAGAGCCAAATCATGAGTGAACTCCCATTCAAAATTGCTTCAAAGAGAATAAAATACCTAGGAATCCAACTTACAAGGATGTGAAAGACCTCTTCAAGGAGAACTACAAACCACTGCTCAATGAAGTAAAAGAGGATACAAACAAATGGAAGAACATTCCATGCTCATGGGTAGGAAGAATCAATATCGTGAAAATGGCCATACTGCCCAAGGTAATTTACAGATTCAATGCCATCCCCATCAAGCTACCAATGACTTTCTTCACAGAATTGGAAAAAACTACTTTAAAGTTCATATGGAACCAAAAAAAGAGGCTGCATTGCCAAGTCAACCCTAAGCCAAAAGAACAAAGCTGGAGGCATCACACTACCTGACTTCAAACTATACTACAAGGCTACAGTAACCAAAACGCATGGTACTGGTACCAAAACAGAGATATAGATCAATGGAACACAACAGAGCCCTCAGAAATAACGCCGCATATCTACAACTATCTGATCTTTGACAAACCTGAGAAAAACAAGCAATGGGGAAAGGATTCTCTATTTAATAAATGGTGCTGGGAAAACTGGCTAGCCATATGTAGAAAGCTGAAACTGGATTCCTTCCTTACACCTTACACAAAAATCAATTCAAGATGGATTAAAGACTTAAATGTTATACCTAACACCATAAAAACCCTAGAAGAAAACCTAGGCATTACCATTCAGGACATAGGCATGGGCAAGGACTTCATGTCTAAAACACCAAAAGCAATGACAACAAAAGCCAAAATTGACAAATGGGATCTAATTAAACTAAAGAGCTTCTGCACAGCAAAAGAAACTACCATCAGAGTGAACAGGCAACCCACAAAATGGGAGAAAATTTTCGCAACCTACTCATCTGACAAAGGGCTAATATCCAGAATCTACAATGAACTCAAACAAATTTACAAGAAAAAAACAAACAACCCCATCAAAAAGTGGGCGAAGGACATGAACAGACACTTCTCAAAAGAAGACATTTATGCAGCCAAAAAACACATGAAAAAATGCTCACCATCACTGGCCATCAGAGAAATGCAAATCAAAACCACAATGAGATACCATCTCACACCAGTTAGAATGGCAATCATTAAAAAGTCAGGAAACAACAGGTGCTGGAGAGGATGTGGAGAAATAGGAACACTTTTACACTGTTGGTGGGACTGTAAACTAGTTCAACCATTGTGGAAGTCAGTGTGGCGATTCCTCAAGGATCTAGAACTGGAAATACCATTTGACCCAGCCATCCCTTTACTGGGTATATACCCAAAGGACTATAAATCATGCTGTTATAAAGACACATGCACACGTATGTTTATTGCGGCATTATTCACAATAGCAAAGACTTGGAACCAACCCAAATGTCCAACAATGATAGACTGGATGAAGAAAATGTGGCACATATACACCATGGAATACTATGCAGCCATAAAAAATGATGAGTTCATGTCCTTTGTAGGGACATGGACGAAATTGGAAATCATCATTCTCAGTAAACTATCGCAAGAACAAAAAACCAAACACCACATATTCTCACTCATAGGTGGGAATTGAATAATGAGATCACATGGACACAGGAAGGGGAATATCACACTCTGGGGACTGTTGTGGGGTGGGGGGAGGGGGGAGGGATAGCATTGGGAGATATAACCAATGCTAGATGAGGAGTTAGTGGGTGCAGCGCATCAGCATGGCGCATGTATACATATGTAACTAACCTGCACAATGTGCACATGTACCCTAAAACTAAAAGTATAATAATAAAAAATAAAAAATAAAAAAAAAAGAAGTCAAAAAAAAAAAAAAAAAACCAAAAAACCCAGCAGATGTAGGCCAGGTTGCACAGAAAAGGGAACACCTATACACTGCTGACAGAAATATAAATATTTTTCAAAGAAGTAAAAATAGCACTACCTTTCAATACAGCAATGCCACTACTGAGTAAATGAATGAAGCAAAAGAAATTATTATATCGAAAAGACATCTGGACTGATATGCCTATTGCAGCACTTTTCACAAGAGCAAAGTCATGGAATCAACCTAAGTATTCATCAGTGAGGGATTGGATAAAGAAAATGTGATACATACCATGGAATACTACTCAGCCATAAAACGAATAAAATCTTGTCTTCTCAACAACATGGATGGGACTGGCAGCCATTATCCTAGGTGAAATAATTCAGAAACAGAAAGTGAAATACTGCATGTTATCGATTGTAATTGGGAGCTAAACAATGTGTACACATGGACATACAGCGTGGAATAATAGGTATCAGAGACTCCAAAAGGTAGAGAGTTGAGGGTTGAGAAATTATCTATTGAGTACAATGCTCACTAGGTTATGGGTATACTGAAAGCCCAGACTTCACCACTACACAATATATGCAAGTACGAAATCTGCACTTGTACCCCTTTAATATACATTTAGAGATCAGTTAAAAAAAAAAAAAGAACTCCAGAGACTTAAGGAGACACAGATATTGGAATGGATTTAACACGTGCAATCCCGTTCAAACTAAGCTCTTCTCTGAAGGTCAGAGGTGCTGGTAGGTGCTCCGGTGGCTGAAATATGTTCCTTAATTTCAGTGAAAATAATAAAATCATAGGTAATCACAGGCAGTAGTGGTTATGGGAGTCAGGGAATTACAGGGGCCAAAACGGCAGCATTAAGGATCAGAACAATCTGCTGTGAAATTATCTTTGTGGGGCGTAATAACAAATACATAGGCAGGTCACTAAGTTTCTCATGTAACTAGGAAGAAAATCAAACAAATTTAAAATCCTGTAAACATAGGGCAACCAGAAGAGAGCCATAGTTCCCATCTAATGCCCTAATCTGAGCCAGTTAAAAAACACAGGGTTTATTTAATAAAGGGGAGGCTGTGCAATCTTGAAAACGGGTTAACAACATCAGCAGCAAGAACTATTGTACTCCTAGACTCCCATAAAGGGGCCTAGGGCTATTTTCCAGTATAACAGTGCAGTGGAAAAAGAAATATCCAGACTCTACAAAATGTATTAGACACTGGCTCCTGGAATGACACCCGTTCTCTGGGCCCCTTAATACCACTACATTCCACTATTCAGAGTAAGGACCTAGTTCTATTAATCTCTGTTTTTTCTATTATATTGTTCTCTGTATATGTATTTTATTATCAAACCAGTAAGATCCTGTACATACTGTACATACTCCAGGTCCAGGGTACTTCCTGGTATTATTGTAAGTAAGTACCTACTTATAACAACTCATAAAATGCCTTCATTGGCTTCTTGACACATCGAGTAAGGGCCAAGTCAAAGCAGCTGACTATAATATCATATCAACTCCAAAGTCATATCCCTGAGGAAATGCAAAAATGTTTTCCACTAT